>NC_000004.12:111951684-112103199 GCF_000001405.40 Homo sapiens | reverse complement strand
ATCACAAGCCAGATTCCAGAGGAAATGGCGGTTGACCTTTTATTTCTTGTTCAATGCCATTGGACAAAAACACGAGTTTAACTTTCAAGTTGCTTTTGGCAGAGGCCTTGGGGTTGCTCCTCTGCCCCCAGCTCTTTTCTGAGTGACACACAGAGCCTCAGCCATCCTTAACAGACGTGTTCTGAGTGCTGTTTCTTGGAATAGCAAATAATACGGCCAATACCTAATTTAGAACTTTTATTCTGTGCCAAGTGCTATGAGCTTATTTATGGATTATCTCATTTAATCCTCATTATTATTTATAATGTAGATGTTGTCATTATCTCCATTTTATGGATAATGACACTGAGGCTTAGAGAAGCTAACTCACTTGCCTAAGATTATATAGCCATTAAGTAGCAGTGACCAGATCTGAACCCAGGCAATTTGATTCTAAACTCTCTACTGCCTCTCTTAATGGCTGCCCATCAGGGAATTCACTCTTCATGGTGGATGTAGTGCAAACTTGATAGATAGAATGGAAGGCAAATGTTAAATGCTATATGACTTGCCTTACACTTATTCATGTCAGAGTGGAACTGCCAAAGGTCAGGATTGTTTGGAGGTCCATAAAAATTCTATATTGCTTGTCTTCCCTGTGCAAAGTGCTCATTGAACATCCTATCCCCAACCTACCCGACTCCTTCTCCATCTCTCATGGGGTAAAGAGGGGAAACAAACTCTTTGGCAAAAATAGACATTATGGTGTAAATCAACTAGGTAAATGAACATCCCCCCACCTTATCTTTATAAAGTATGAACATTGAAAGAAAATCAGAGTTTTTAAAAAGGCAAATTTTGCCATTACAATTTGAATAAAGAACTCTTTTGTTTGACAACATAAAGCTTTAGATGAAGTACTATTTTAATATGTAAAAGATTAAGGACAAATTAAAAGCTAAAACATTCTCCGTCAATACTTGAAGTTGAGCAAAAATCACAGGATATAGGTTAAATTTAAACAATTTCCACAGCAAGGATGGTGTTCAAAGTCATCACCCAGTAGGAGGGTGGCCCCTATTCCTGAGTTTTGATCCTTGACCATGATTCCTGGCCTGCAGACACCCAAAGCTGCTTCATCTCACTTTATATCTCTCAGAATGCCCTAGAATTTCTCTCTTTGCTTCTCCAGGAATCCCTATTACCAGCCCCTCCTACTCTCCAATTCTCTGACTCTTGATTTTGGATTATATTTAAAATTGCTATTATTGTACTATGTAGGCCCTTTCTTAAAATTTTAGACTCTCAAATGTTGCAGTCATACACTTCCTTTTTCCAAATTAGAAACTAAGAAAAATAATAGCAGCTCTCTTCTGCTTCCATCCTTCCCCTCTTTACAAAAAAGAATCTTAGAACTCTCAAAATAAAAATATTCTTTTCCATAAATCGGTTCTTCTTCCTGTTGGAACTGTACTTGATCAATATCTCATGACATACTTAATTCTGCTGCTTTCAGCAGTAAGTTTTGGGTAATAATTTTCAGGGACAAGGCAACTCTGCAATATTACCTTATCCATTAACCAATGAATCAGGTAAGAAATTTTGTTTTTCTTCTTTTTCCCTGATAAGCAATTTAAAATACATCTTTTGTAATATTTGGATATGATTTTAAGATAGCACATAAAACTTCCAAAGAATTTCAATTTTGCCATGGACAACTTGCCCTCAAAGTCATTGTCTCCCTCTAGTTTTACTTTCTATTTATTTTTACTTTCTATTTAATTTTCTATTTAAGTTTCATTTTTATGGTAGCTAGACATCCATTGTATGGACTTAATTACTGTACAAAGTGTATAGTGCTCACAATATTTTTAGGGGCCCACAAAAATATATGAATTTTATTTCTAATTCAGAAGGAAAGATATAATGATAATATTTAATAATTAATCCAGCCTGGGGTGTATACCAAAGCAGTCACAAAATATAATTGTGTGTGTGCATGTGTGTGTGTATGTGTATTCTTTTCAATGAAGGAAGGGGCTCTGAAGGCAAAAGTGCTTGGAACTCATGATAGTCATAACACTATGAAAGTGGCTAGCTTCTTTATAGCAAGTGAACATTTTAAAACTGACAGCCATATTCCATATTCTTCAAAGTTTTTATGTTGTTTGTGGTTTTGATGATCATGTGAACCATCCCCACATTATGCAATTTATTGGTCACAAATTAAAACTAAAATGGAGTATAAAGTTCTGAGAATATGAGTCTTGAACAATAAATAAGCCTTCAGGTATTGATATGTTATCTTAATTTGGCTTTAGTCATTCCTTATCATAAGTTTTATTTATTTATTTATTTTTAATATAAACTTAAAATAAAATCCTACCCCCCTTCCCCACCAACTGAACAAACCCCCATTGTGCCCAAGAGAACTCCAGGAAAACCTTAAAACTGAGTTCCCAGCCATGATGGAATGGGAGGTCAGACACATCTCATTAAACCCTTTCTCTTTTATGGTTTAGACAGAACAACTGATCAGCATTAATGTTAAAATAGAGATCATAAGACTGACAGAACAAACTCTTCGTGGCAGTAAGATACCATATTACACCATGATACAAACAGGACCTAAGGCCATGCCAGGCAAGGATTAATTCACGCACCCCCTACACTTAAGTAATAAACTAGGTTTTTCTTTTTCTCTGTCAGCTAAACAAGCACTGGCTTCGAGATAAGCAATATTAAAACAATTTGCACCTCTACCAGATTCTGACCCCCACTCCCTGTTCCACCCACTCCCTGTTCCACCAGCCATAGCTATAGCTTTGATTGGACAAGAGACTGATTTCAATAACTTTCTCCTGATCAGAAGATCATGGACCATGGACTGGTTCTGGGCGGTTTACAGATATTGTGCACTTGTATGCCTTCCTGCCCTGAAAGAAACTTTTGATTTATAGGGCCTAATTGTAAATACATTTAAATGTTAAGTCTCCACCCCAAAGTAAACATGGGTCATGTTACATGCATGTTTGTTCAATAAGCATGTAACATCCAATATGTGTCAGGACCACCCTCATGAATATTCATAGCTCCTCCTATACCTGTTGAATATGTACGTTTAGCCAACCTGTTCAGCATAAAGCTCCCACTCCAAGCACTCCTCCTGTGAAGTGCCTGTCTCTGGTCTTGCGGGAGGCATTTTTCTAAATGCCTTTAGAAGAAACAAAGTCTTTCCTTTTCTAAATCTACATTTATAAATCCTATTTTTTTTTAAGTTAACATAAGACAAGGTTTTTACATGTAACATTATTGGCTTTGTTTACCTTTATTATTTTCCAAAACTATGGCACCATCTACTGGTAGTTTAAAGAACGGTTCTACATGCTTAGATAATGGAAACGGTTCAATCCTACATCCCATGTATTTACAAAAGACAGTTCACATTACTCCCTCCTCCTCTTGCCAATTCAATGCCTTTTAAAAAATCTACTCTGTCCCTTAAAAGTCCGTTTTTACCTCTCCAGCAATGCCATCTACTTCTGTAGTTTCTATTGAACCATAATGTTCAAACTCCAACTCTGATATTTTTTCCTGATGTTTTCCTAGCTTTGTCTTTTCAACTGCTAACTGAACTGGATACCTTTTCAACTCCAGCTGAAAGGCATCAGCTGGATTAAGGATGGCTGCTGTTAAGCCATCTCTGGCAGCACCTCATACACATCAGAAGTCCATCTTTGTCTCATCTCACATAGGACAACTCTCTGTTGTACTTTGCCTTTATTTCCAGAAACTGCCTTCTGTGTCCATACCTTCTGCTTTTGTAGTCCAGCTCACTCACTTAACTCACATCTTTGTCATCTATGCCTTTCTCTATGGAAATTTTCTGGCGCTGACCTATTTCTGGCTATGGAACCTCTCAACTATGATTTCCTCCCCTTGCTGGATCATTCCTGACAGCAACTCTCGGATGCTGCATTCTCTGAAGCACTTAGATGCTTAGAGCCCTTAGATGAGGGCTCAGACTAGCCCTTGGTCTACCAGTAGTTATACTGGCTGCTTATCAGAGTGCTGGGAACCCTTCTTAAAACTCCAGATACTCAGATCTCTCCTCAAGGGATTTGATTCAGTAGCTCTACTGGAGACCCTGGGAATTTTAATAAATGCCTCAGAAGATTTCTGGTACAGCTGTTTCATTTGGGAACCAACAGCCACAAGATAAATTATGTGTCACAGAACACAAAGCTCTGCGTAAACTGGCCCAAGTCTATCGCTGTGGTTTCATATTTTGCCATCTGATCTGCCATTCTTCTGTAGGCATTTTCCTTATTCCTTGTTCTTTCTCTTTTTGCTCCTTCCTAGTTGGAAAATTTCCTCTCATCTTTTTTTTTTAATTTTAATTTTAATTTTTTGAGATAGAGTTTCGCTCTTGTCACCCAGGCTGGAGTGTGGCATTGTGATCTCGGCTCACTGCAACTTCTGCCTCCCAGGTTCAAGCAATTCTCGTGCCTCAGCCTCCCGAGTAGCTGGCACTACAGGCGCCCGCCACCATGCCTGGCTAATTTTGTATTTTTGGTAGAAACAGGGTTTCACCATGTTGGCCAGACTGGTCTTGAACTCCTGACCTCAGGTGATCTGCCCACTTTGGCCTCCCAAAGTGCTAGGATTATAGGCATGAGCCATCATGCCCGGCCTTCTTCTTATCTTTTAAATCACAGGTCAAATATCATCTTCTCTTTAGGGATTCCTTGTATTCTTCTTTTGCCTCCCTTTTCATTAAGCAAAATTAATCTTTCTTTTAGCTGTGCCACTATACCTCAATTGGAGCTCACATCACAGAGTCAGATTCACACTCTGAATCCAGGTGTTTATGTCCTAAAAAACCTAGAGAGTAAGTGATCATTAAAACATGGTCTATGGATCTCCTGCTTCACAATCATCTAGGGTGTGTGATCAGTGAAAGATTTTCACTGCAGATCTATTGAATTAGACTCTCTGGGGATGAAGTCTGCAATTGGTAAAATTAGTGCAGGTAAGTCTTCTGCTCATTAAAATTTGAGAACCATGGTTCTATCAGCTGTAGAAATTCAGGACATCAGCTGAAGTGACAATTCTTCCATGAACTGCATTAATCAACAGGACATATGTCAGGAGCTCAGAGCACTCACATCTTTATCAGCAGCAAGGCCAAGGGGTTGGCTTCAGTTATTGGTGTTGAAGTTAGCGTTAGCGGTACCACTGCTTACTTTTCTTTTGTTTGTTTTTAAACCATTGGTTTTCCTTTTAAACAGGCCTCCCAATTAAAAACAATGCTAGGTAAAAGAAAATATACTTGAGAGCAGCATCTTATTTATGTGTTAAACCATGGTTCTTCTCCTAAAACCTTAACATTCCCTGGCCTTAGAATTTATTATAATCCTAAATTTAAGAGGATGATCTATATTGTTATATTGTCATCTTCATTTCCCTCTTATGCACTTATTGAGATTAGGACCCATATCTAATTGCTCCTCAGTCTTTTTAACCTGGAATCTCCAGGTTTTTTAAAAAAATAATTTCAACTTTTATTTTAGATAAAGAGGGTATATGTGCAAATTTGTTACATGGTCATATTGTGTGATGCTAAGGTTTGGGATATGATTGAATTTGTCACTGAAGAAGTGAGCATAGTACCCAATAGTTTATTTTTCAACCCTTGCCTCCCTCCCTTCCTCCCCACCTCTAGTAGTCCCCAATGCCTATTGTTCCCATCTTTATGTCCATGAGTACCCAGTGTTCAGCTCCCACTTGTAAGTTAGAACATGCAGTATTTGGTTTCTGTTCCTGCATTAATTTGCTTAGGATAATGGCCTCCATCTGCATCCATATTGCTGCAAAGGACATGATTTCATTCTTGTTATGGCTGCATAGCATTCCATGGTGTATATGTACCACATTTTCCTAATCTAATCAACTGCTGATGGACATCTTGTTTGATTTTATGTCTTTGCTATTGTGAATAGTGCTGCAATGACATATGGGTGCATAGTGTCTTTTTGGTAGAATGATTTATTTTCTTTGGGGCATATACCTAGTAATGGGATTTCTGGGTTGAATGGTTGTTCAACTCTTAGTTCTTTGAAAAATCTTTAAACTGCTTTCCACAGTGGCTAAACTAATTTACATTCCTTCCAACAGTGAATAACCATTCCCTTTACTCCACAGCCTCACTAGTATCTGCTGTTTTTTTGACTTTTTAATAATAGCATTTTGAGTGGTGTGAGATGGTATATCTTGTTATGGTTTTGATTTGCATTTCTCTGATGATCAGTGATGTTGAGCATTTTCTCATATGTTTGTTGGCAGCTTGTATGTCTTCTGTTGAGAAGTATCTGTGCATGTCGTTTGTCCACTTTTTAATAGGATTGTTTGTTTTTTGCTTGTTGAATTGTTTAAGATCCTTACAGATTCTGGATACTAGACCTTTGTCAGATGCATAGTTTGTGAATATTTTGTCCCATTCTGTAGGTTGTCTGTTTACTCTGTTGATAGGTTTAATTTAATTTTATTTATTTATGTATGCTGTGCAGAAGCTCTTTAGTTTAATTAGGCTCCACTTGCCAATTTTTGTTTTTGTCACAATTGCTTTTGAGGACTTAGCCAAAAATTCTTTCCCAATGCCAATGTCCAGAATAGTGTTTGCTAGGTTTCCTTCTAGGATTCTTACAGTTTGAGGTCTTACATTTAAATCTTTAATCCATTTTCAGTTAATTTTCATATATGATGAAAGGTATACAGTTTCATTGTTCTGCATATGGCTATCCAGTTATCCCAGCATCCAGGTGTTTTTCAAAATAATATTATCATTTTTCACCTTGGGAGACTCAAACAGATAAATGGGATTATACATATTCTTATAGTTCTTTGGTAAACAATAATATAATCACTGTGTAGTCTCTTTCCTGGATCAGTGGTATATTGAACTCATTTTTAAATTGACTCTTATAACAATGCAAACAATATAACTTTGTCAATTAAACATAGACATATATTTGAAGAAGATAAAAAAGAATAAAACTAGCAAAAACCGATTTGAGAATTCAATTAAAGTCTCTAATATAGATTAAATACCTACTGTGCACCAAGAGAAACACAAAGAACCAGCACGGTCCCTGCTCTAGAGGAATTTATGAACTCTATAGAGAAAAACATATTTATATATAAGCCACCATACAAACAGAGGAGAAAATTTTTTTCATGATGCCTACTTTTAAGCCAAACATTATAAAATTGGAGTAAATACTGATAGTTAACTTTCCTTCTTTTATCCATCCTCATTTCATTTCAGCTACATCAGGTCAGGCCCTCGCTTCCTCACAGTGGTACTCATTACCTCTCAGTTGGACTAGTCTTCTAGCTGGCATTTTATCATCCAATTCACACTCTAAACTATTGCCAGATTACTTTTTCTAAAACTTTGTTTTTATCATAGAATTCTCTGCTGAAAGCACTGCTTCAGTTTTACCTTATCAATTATTATAAGGTCAAATTTTATTGCCTATCTTGGCATTTAGGGTTCTCTAAAGTCTCATGACATTGTACTTTTCTGGTGTGTTTCCAGCTCCTCCCTTGTGTGAATCAGATGCTCTAGATACATGACCATATGCTCACAGCTTCCTCCTCATCCTTCAAGGCCCAACAATCCAAAGTCAGTACCATTCTGTCTCCCAACATCATACTATTTTATACTCCTCTGCCTGAGCAGCTTAATTTCCTTTTGTCTGGAAAGCCCTATCCTGCCATCTCCTCACAGCTAACTCCTATTCACCTTTCATTAAGCAGTTCAGGTGTCATCTTCTGACAAATCCTTCCTCCAGCATCTATGCATGGGCAATGTGCTCTTACTGTGTGCCCTCATAACACTGTGCTGCTGAACCTACCACCTAGCATGGAAACTATCTTTCACGGGTTCATCCTCCGCTACTAAATAACAGGAAATAACTTGCAAACAGAGACTTTATTTTATTCATTTTGATATCTTAGTATACAACGGTAATCAATGAGTGTGTCTTTTTAAAAATTTTTATTTGTATAAATATAAGGGGTACCAGTGCAATTTTGTTACATGGATATATTGCATAGTGGTAAAGTCTCAGCTTTTAGTCTACCACTGGAATAATGTACATTGTACTCATTATACAAATTCTCAAATGATTGTGTCTTTAACTGATCCAAAGTAAGAGCTTCTCCATGAAGTTCATCCCAAGCCTGAACTTCCTTCGCCAAGCTCCAGTAACATCAACCTTATGCCTTTTTACTTAACATCCTTTTGATAATTTCTGTGTATTAACTCTTTTTATTGGAAGTGGCCGAAAATCCAACTCAAACCAGCTTAAGCAAAAAATAGAATTTATTGGATAATCAATTTGGAAGTCTAAATTATAGAGTTGTCTTCAGGAACAACTGGTTTCAGGAACTCATCCAATGTCAGCAGGACCTGGCTCTTCTCTTTGACTTGGCCCTGCCTTCCTCTGGCAGCCCCTAAATGTGCAGGCTCCAGCCTTTCCCACTCAAGTCCAGTGGAAAGCACATGCCTTCCTCCCCTCTGCCCTATTCCCCCTGCAAACACTTGAGAATCAGCTCTGATTGGGCCATGTACTTGTCTGGCTCAATAAGGCAGAGATATAAAACATCAACCTTGTTGCTGGTGAAAGAGAATGTAGAGGATAATCTTAGAGTTTAAGTGAGTTTAATAATAACCTGAGAATGTTGTAGATTAGCCACCAGTCATGACAGTGTTAGACTGGCTCCCGTCTTTCCTGCAGCCTTTCCTTCCCCACTAAGGGCTTACTTAGCCTGCCCCTGGCCAAGCAGAGCAGAACTCTGTGTTCCCACAGACCTAGCTCTTGAGAAAATACATGGAGTTGCATATGTATTTTCTAATGCTGGGCATAGGAATATGCCCAGTATTTTTTTCCCTACTGTAAGAACTAGATACCTCTGTATACCTCCTCTTGGGCTGAGTGAGAAAAGAGGAGTGATTACAATGTTTACATGTCTTTAAAATGTAAGGGAAACATCAAGCTTAAGGAAAGAGTTATTCCCTTCTAATATAGCCCTTCCCTGAACCATTATCTGTGATCAGAAGATGGGTTGGTCTGCTCTGAGTTACATGGACATCCCCAAAGGTAATGTGGAGTTCACACCACCTGCATTCTGACTGACAAGATGAACTTGCTTTTAAACAAAATCCACATGCAAATACCATGAGCAGGGGAAAATTGAGCCTACAGGCAGAAGCCACAAACTTCCACTGTACAATTTACACTGGTTATTTGTCAGGTCAGTACCCTCAGTTTTCTCATTTGTGAAATGGGAAGAACAAAAATATTTGCTCAGGTGTTATGAGGATTTGATGGGACAATGTGTGCGAATAGTAGTCCCATAAAAGCTTGGCGGAAGTGGGCCATTTGACACCAATTCATATACAACTATTTGTTGAGAACAGTGCAAAGAATACATTCTCACGATGCATTCTTTGTATACAAAACCAGGAGATATCAAGCTGGGTATACTAAATGGATATTGCTTCCTAATTTCTTATACGTAAAGATGTGGATTGTTGGCTCTGCCTGTCCAGGACAAGGTTTAGCCAGGTTAGGGGACATGTCAGTGGGAGCTGGCCAGGTCTCTTGTATCCCAAACAAAATCCTCTAAAATTCCAGCATAATTGCTTTGAGTGGTTATAAATATTGCCTTTAGAAAGCTACATCACCTGAATTTGACATTGGGTATTCTCACAACATTCCTTTTAAGGCCCTAATGCTTATTCCAGACATTATAAATAATAAAAATTTATAAACACGTGCTGATATGGTTTGGATGTTTTATCCCTTCCAAATCTCGTGTTGAAATGTGACCTTCAAATGTTGACGGTGGGCCTAGTGGGAGGTGTTTGGGTTATGGGAGCAGATCCCTCATGAATGACTTGATGCTGCCCTCAAGGTAATGAGTGAGTTCTCACTCTGTTAGTTCACATGAGATCTGGTTGTTTAAAAAGTATGACACCTCCCTCCACTCTTGCTTTCTCTCTTTCTATATAATATGCTGGCTCCCCATTTGCCTTCTGCCATGACTGGAAGCTTCCTGAGGCCTCACCAAAAGCAGGTGCTGGCACCATGTTTCTTGTACAGCCTGCAGAACCCTGAGCCAAAATAAACCTTTTTTCCTTATAAATTACCCAGTCTGAGGTATTATTTTATAGCAATAGAAAATGGACTAACACACATGCCTATATGCTTTTAGAAAGCTGTGCAACCTGGAACTAGCATCAGATTTTCTGGTAAAATTTGTACTAAACTACTACTACTTAGACCACAGGTTCTAGATAGCAATGACTTGGTATCCTATATGCCCACATGCATTTATGCAAGAACATGAAGGCAGTCCAAAGATGCAGAGTATCAGGAAGAGAGCTCTGGGATCAACATTCAGGAAGGGACAAGCTATTATCTCAGCACTGCTTTCCCTGAAGGATGACCATAATGAAAGAGGAAGGTAATGCAGGAGTCTACCTCATCAGAGGTAATGTTGAATAAATGCCAATTACTACTCACAGCTCCTAAGAGGACCTAGTGTTGGCTACTATCTCATACCAGTAGAAGCATAACTTGATTTAACGATTTAAAAGGGCAATTTTATTTTATTTTATTTTTTTATTTTTTTATTTTTATTTTAATTTTTTTATTTTTTTAATATACTTTAAGTTTTAGGGTACATGTGCATATTGTGCAGGTTAGTTACATATGTATACATGTGCCATGCTGGTGTGCTGCACCCACTAACTCGTCATCTAGCATTAGGTATATCTCCTAATGCTATCCCTCCCCCCTCCCCCCACCCCACCACAGTCCCCAGAGTGTGATATTCCCCTTCCTGTGTCCATGTGATCTCATTGTTCAATTCCCACCTATGAGTGAGAATATGCTGTGTTTGGTTTTTTGTTCTTGAGATAGTTTACTGAGAATGATGATTTCCAATTTCATCCATGTCCCTACAAAGGACATGAACTCATCATTTTTTATGGCTGCATAGTATTCCATGGTGTATATGTGCCACATTTTCTTAATCCAGTCTATCATTGTTGGACATTTGGGTTGGTTCCAAGTCTTTGCTATTGTGAATAATGCCGCAATAAACATACGTGTGCATGTGTCTTTATAGCAGCATGATTTATAGTCCTTTGGGTATATACCCAGTAATGGGATGGCTGGGTCAAATGGTATTTCTAGTTCTAGATCCCTGAGGAATCGCCACACTGACTTCCACAATGGTTGAACTAGTTTACAGTCCCACCAACAGTGTAAAAGTGTTCCTATTTCTCCACATCCTCTCCAGCACCTGTTGTTTCCTGACTTTTAAATCATCGCCATTGTAACTGGTGTGAGATGGTATCTCATTGTGGTTTTGATTTGCATTTCTCTGATGGCCAGTGATGATGAGCATTTTTTCATGTGTTTTTTTGGCTGCATAAATGTCTTCTTTTGAGAAGTGTCTGCTCATGTCCTTCGCCCACTTTTTGATGGGGTTGTTTGTTTTTTTCTTGTAAATTTGTTTGTGTTCATTGTAGATTCTGGATATTAGCCCTTTGTCAGATGAGTAGGTTGCGAAAATTTTCTCCCATTTTGTAGGTTGCCTGTTCACTCTGATGGTAGTTTCTTTTGCTGTGCAGAAGCTCTTTAGTTTAATTAGATCCCATTTGTCAATTTTGGCTTTTGTTGCCATTGCTTTTGGTGTTTTGGACGTGAAGTCCTTGCCCATGCCTATGTCCTGAATGGTAATGCCTAGGTTTTCTTCTAGGGTTTTTATGGTTTTAGGTCTAACGTTTAAGTCTTTAATCCATCTTGAATTGATTTTTGTATAAGGTGTAAGGAAGGGATCCAGTTTCAGCTTTCTCCATAAGGCTAGCCAGTTTTCCCAGCACCATTTATTCAATAGGGAATCCTTTCCCCATTGCTTGTTTTTCTCAGGTTTGTCAAAGATCAGATAGTTGTAGATATGCGGCGTTATTTCTGAGGGCTCTGTTCTGTTCCATTGATCTATATCTCTGTTTTGGTACCAGTACCATGCTGTTTTGGTTACTGTAGCCTTGTAGTATAGTTTGAAGTCAGGTAGTGTGATGCCTCCAGCTTTGTTCTTTTGGCTTAGGATTGCCTTGGTGATGCGGGCTCTTTTTTGGTTCCATATGAACTTTAAAGTAGTTTTTTCCAATTCTGTGAAGAAAGTCGTTGGTAGCTTTATGGGGATGGCATTGAATCTGTAAATTACCTTGGACAGTATGGCCATTTTCACGATATTGATTCTTCCTACCCATGAGCATGGAATGTTCTTCCATTTGTTTGTATCCTCTTTTATTTCCTTGAGCAGTGGTTTGTAGTTCTCCTTGAAGAGGTCCTTCACATCCCTTGTAAGTTGGATTCCTAGGTATTTTATTCTCTTTGAAGCAATTGTGAATGGGATTTCACTCATGATTTGGCTCTCTGTTTGTCTGTTATTGGTGTATAAGAATGCTTGTGATTTTTGTGCATTGATTTTGTATCCTGAGACTTTGCTGAAGTTGCTTATCAGCTTAAGGAGATTTTGGGCTGAGACAATGGGGTTTTCTAGATATACAATCATGTCTTCTGCAAACAGGGACAATTTGACTTCCTCTTTTCCTAATTGAATACCCTTTATTTCCTTCTCCTGCCTAATTGCCCTGGCCAGAACTTCCAACACTATGTTGAATAGGAGTGGTGAGAGAGGGCATCCCTGTCTTGTGCCAGTTTTCAAAGGGAATGCTTCCAGTTTTTGCCCATTCAGTATGATATTGGCTGTGGGTTTGTCATAGATAGCTCTTATTATTTTGAGATACGTCCCATCAATACCTGATTTATTGAGAGTTTTTAGCATGAAGCGTTGTTGAATTTTGTCAAAGGCTTTTTCTGCATCTATTGAGATAATCATGTGGTTTTTGTCTTTGGTTCTGTTTATATGCTGGATTACATTTATTGATTTGCATATATTGAACCAGCCTTGCATCCCAGGGGATGAAGCCCACTTGAACGTGGTGGATAAGCTTTTTGATGTGCTGCTGGATTCGTTTTGCTAGTATTTTATTGAGGATTTTTGCATCAATGTTCATCAAGGATATTGGTCTAAAATTCTCTTTTTTGGTTGTGTCTCTGCCAGGCTTTGGTATCAGAATGATGCTGGCCTCATAAAATGAGTTAGGGAGGATTCCCTCTTTTTCTATTGATTGGAATAGTTTCAGAAGGAGTGGTACCAGTTCCTCCTTGTACCTCTGGTAGAATTCGGCTGTGAATCCATCTGGTCCTGGACTCTTTTTGGTTGGTAAACTATTGATTATTGCCACAATTTCAGATCCTGTTATTGGTCTATTCAGAGATTCAACTTCTTCCTGGTTTAGTATTGGGAGAGTGTATGTGTCGAGGAATTTATCCATTTCTTCTAGATTTTCTAGTTTATTTGCATAGAGGTGTTTGTAGTATTCTCTGATGGTAGTTTGTATTTCTGTGGGATCGGTGGTGATATCCCCTTTATCATTTTTTATTGTGTCTATTTGATTCTTCTCTTCTTTTTTTCTTTATTAGTCTTGCTAGCAGTCTATCAATTTTGTTGATCCTTTCAAAAAACCAGCTCCTGGATTCATTAATTTTTTGAAGGGTTTGTTGTGTCTCTATTTCCTTCAGTTCTGCTCTGATTTTAGTTATTTCTTGCCTTCTGCTAGCTTTTGAATGTGTTTGCTCTTGCTTTTCTAGTTCTTTTAATTGTGATGTTAGGGTGTCAATTTTGGATCTTTCCTGCTTTCTCTTGTGGGCATTTAGTGCTATAAATTTCCCTCTACACACTGCTTTGAATGTGTCCCAGAGATTCTGGTATGTTGTGTCTTTGTTCTCATTGGTTTCAAAGAACATCTTTATTTCTGCCTTCATTTCGTTAGGTATCCAGTAGTCATTCAGGAGCAGGTTGTTCAGTTTCCATGTAGTTGAGCGGTTTTGAGTGAGATTCTTAATCCTGAGTTCTAGTTTGATTGCACTGTGGTCTGAGAGATAGTTTGTTGTAATTTCTGTTCTTTTACATTTGCTGAGGAGAGCTTTACTTCCAAGTATGTGGTCAATTTTGGAATAGGTGTGGTGTGGTGCTGAAAAAAATGTATATTCTGTTGATTTGGGGTGGAGAGTTCTGTAGATGTCTATTAGGTCTGCTTGGTGCAGAGCTGAGTTCAATTCCTGGGTATCCTTGTTGACTTTCTGTCTCATTGATCTGTCTAATGTTGACAGTGGGGTGTTAAAGTCTCCCATTATTAATGTGTGGGAGTCTAAGTCTCTTTGTAGGTCACTCAGGACTTGCTTTATGAATCTGGGTGCTCCTGTATTGGGTGCATATATATTTAGGATAGTTAACTCTTCTTGTTGAATTGATCCCCTTACAATTATGTAATGGCCTTCTTTGTCTCTTTTGATCTTTGTTGGTTTAAAGTCTGTTTTATCAGAGACTAGGACTGCAACCCCTGCCTTTTTTTGTTCTCCATTTGCTTGGTAGATCTTCCTCCATCCTTTTATTTTGAGCCTATATGTGTCTCTACACGTGAGATGGGTTTCCTGAATACAGCACACTGATGGGTCTTGACTCTTTATCCAATTTGCCAGTCTGTGTCTTTTAATTGGAGCATTTAGTCCATTTACATTTAAAGTTAATATTGTTATGTGTGAATTTGATCCTGTCATGATGATGTTAGCTGGTGATTTTGCTCGTTAGTTGATGCAGTTTCTTCCTAGTCTGGATGGTCTTTACATTTTGGCATGATTTTGCAGTGGCTGGTACCGGTTGTTCCTTTCCATGTTTAGCGCTTCCTTCAGGAGCTCTTTTAGGGCAGGCCTGGTGGTGACAAAATCTCTCAGCATTTGCTTGTCTGTAAAGTATTTTATTTCTCCTTCACTTATGAATCTTAGTTTGACTGGATATGAAATTCTGGGTTGAAAATTCTTTTCTTTAAGAATGTTGAATATTGGCCCCCACTCTCTTCTGGCTTGTAGGGTTTCTGCTGAGAGATCTGCTGTTAGTCTGATGGGCTTCCCTTTGAGGGTAACTCACCTTTCTCTCTGGCCGCCCTTAACACTTTTTCCTTCATTTCAACTTTGGTGAATCTGACAATTATGTGTCTTGGAATTGCTCTTCTCAAGGAGTATCTTTGTGGCGTTCTCCATATTTCCTGAATCTGAACGTTGGCCTGCCTTGCTAGATTGGGGAAGTTCTCCTGGATAATATCCTGCAGAGTGTTTTCCAGCTTGGTTCCATTCTCCCCATCACTTTCAGGTACACCAATCAGACGTAGATTTGGTCTTTTCACATAGTCCCATATTTCTTGGAGGCTTTGCTCATTTCTTTTTATTCTTTTTTCTCTAAACTTCCCTTCTCGCTTCATTTCATTCATTTCATCTTCCATTGCTGATACCCTTTCTTCCAGTTGACCGCATCGGCTCCTGAGGCTTCTGCATTCTTCACGTAGTTCTCGAGCCTTGGTTTTCAGCTCCATCAGCTCCTTTAAGCACTTCTCTGTATTGGTTATTCTAGTTATACATTCTTCTAAATTTTTTTCAAAGTTTTCAACTTTTTTGCCTTTGGTTTGAATGTCCTCCCGTAGCTCAGAGTAATTTGATCGTCTGAAGCCTTCTTCTCTCACCTCGTCAAAGTCATTCTCCATCCAGCTTTGTTCTGTTGCTGGTGAGGAACTGCATTCCTTTGGAGGAGGAGAAGCGCTATGCGTTTTAGGGTTTCCCGTTTTTCTGTTCTGTTTTTTCCCCATCTTTGTGGTTTTATCTACTTTTGGTCTTTGATGATGGTGATGTACAGATGGGTTTTTGGTGTGGATGTCCTTTCTGTTTGTTAGTTTTCCTTCTAACAGACAGGACCCTCAGCTGCAGGTCTGTCGGAATACCCTGCCGTGTGAGGTGTCAGTGTGCCCCTGCTGAGGGGTGCCTCCCAGTTAGGCTGCTCGGGGGTCAGGGGTCAGGGACCCACTTGAGGAGGCAATCTCCCCATTCTCAGATCTCCAGCTGCATGCTGAGAGATCCACTGCTCTCTTCAAAGCTGTCAGACAGGGACATTTAAGTCTGCAGAGGTTACTGCTGTCTTTTTGTTTGTCTGTGCCCTGCCCCCAGAGGTGGAGCCTACAGAGGCAGGCAGGCCTCCTTGAGCTGTGGTGGGCTCCACCCAGTTCGAGCTTCCAGGCTGCTTTGTTTACCTAAGGAAGCCTGGGCAATGGCGGGCACCCCTCCCCCCAGCCTTGCTGCTGCCTTGCAGTTTGATCTCAGACTGCTGTGCTAGCAATCAGTGAGAGGACTCCGTGGGCGTAGGACCCTCCGAGCGAGGTGCGGGATATAATCTCGTGGTGCGCCGTTTTTTATGCCAGTCCGAAAAGCGCAATATTCGGGTGGGAGTGACCCGATTTTCCAGGTGCGTCCGTCACCCCTTTCTTTGACTCGGAAAGGGAACTCCCTGATCCATTGCACTTCCCAAGTGAGGCAATGCCTCGCCCTGCTTCGGCTCACGCACGGTGCGCACACCCACTGACCTGCGCCCACTGTCTGGCACTCCCTAGTGAGATGAACCCGGTACCTCAGATGGAAATGCAGAAATCACCCGTCTTCTGAGTCGCTCACGCTGGGAGCTGTAGACGGGAGCTGTTCCTATTCGGCCATCTTGGCTCCTCCTCCAAGAGGGCAATTTTATAATATATACCAAAAACTTTAAAATGTTCATATCCTTGAGACAGAAATTCCACCTCCAGGGATTTATCTTAAGGCTGCATAGAGACTTTTTTTGTGGTATCTACCCAGCCTATGCCTCCTTTCTTTGGACTCAAGGGAAAGACTCTCATGTCAGTGAGCTTGAGGAGGAGAGAAAGCCACTAGGTACAAGGAAGGGAAGAGTTATCAGTGGACAGCACAATGAATTCAGGCTATGACACATCCTGTCTGCTTCAAACAAACAGCAATGCTAGACAAGTTTTATAAGAAGATATGTGGAAGTACCTGGCCAACTCAAAACAAGGCAAACATTTCCATAGACCACAAATAAGACTTGAAAAATTATAGTAGGGAACAGAGATGAAATCAAGAGCCTGCCAGACTCCAGATCCCAATGTGGGCATCAAAGGCAAATAGGATTTTGGAGAAGATGCAGACCTCTGCCGCTGCCCCACCCCCGATACTGAAGAAAGCTCTTTTGTGAAATGTAAAGATCATCTCACATGGACAAAGCACTCAGGTGAGAAAGATGGGGTGGAAGAAGTGAGTATCATTTCTGGTGTTGATAAGTAGGGAATGACTGAGTGCATTTTTGAAGTGAGAAGTAGTTCCCCTCATCACAGACTAATGCCTAGAATAAGATTGTGAGTAAGAAAAGGAGGTATAAGCACAAGACACAGAACACATAAGAAAAAAAGCCTAGTTGTGTTAGTTGTGTGACATTTAGTAGTTTTGTTAGTTAGAAGGATTTGGAGATTGCTATCAGAACCTACTGTGTATCTGTTATCATTTATTTAATATAAATATGAATTATAAATTGCATCTCTCTCTCAAACACACAGATACAGGCAGAAAGTGAAAATGGGTGTCTTCTGAGGGAAGTGACAGAGATGGCAATTTCTAGTGATCTTACATCCGGGGTTTCCAGTTCCTTATGAGGCCTATTACCTAAGGTTGTGGGTTTTGTGCAATAACCCTGGATCCTTATATTAAGTTTCGCTTTTTAACTTAAGCTCTTTTCTACTTATTTGAGCGATTTTTTTGTTCTTTAAACAAAGGGAGCCTTGGCTAAGCCAAGAAATAATGGGCCTGGACCCAAATTTTACGTATGAGGATGTTTGCTGAGGAACTATGTTTAACAGTGAAAAACTGAAAGGAATGTAAATGGCATGATATAGGGAGGGTTCAGTCAGTGATGGAGTGGTCATATGCTGGAATAGCATGCAGCTGTTAAAAGTGTATTATAGCAGGACATGAAAAGTTTGGGCAAATGTACATAACGTTATTTAGGAGGGAGGGGGTCTTATGTTTTTCATTGTCATCTCTTCCTCTGATGTCTTCCTGAGATTCTAACTTCTATTATGTTCTCACTTCTTGCCTTTTCCCTCAGTTTTCTTAAAACACAACTCATATCAACATTTACATAGATGAGAATTCATTGAACATCCAGGGGTGTCACAGCAAGGGGTTTGCATTATGGGATAGCAGGACACAAGGCAAACAATGTAAGACTAGATGCTACACATTCTTGTTCTTGAATGTCTCTTGGGAATTCCCAACACTGAGAACTTCTTCCTGGCTTCTCTCTCTCACTTCTCTGTTTGGCTCTTTCATTGCCCAGAAAGTCTCAAAATCCTTTTACTTGTTAGGCAAAACAATTTAATTTTGCCATTCTTCTGCTTACTATACTATGTCCTGGGGACCATCACTTCACTTCACAATGAAATAATTTACCAAGGAACAAAAGATAGCAAGATAGTGCTCTTCTCTAAGAAAACTGCTACTTCTATCTTTTAAATAACATCTCTTTGTTCTCTCTACTATATCTAACTCCTCCCCTGCCCCTTAACACTGATAAAATGTGTAATGTATAACAAAAATATTAAACAATGTTTATCTCTGAGTAGTGAATATTATTTTTCTTTTTTATTATTTTCTATTTTTAAATTTTCTAGAGTGTACATGTAGCTTTTAAAAATCAGAAAAATGTTATAAAAATTGTAATTCTGGTAGTACATTAATCAGGGTAGGCTAACTGCTGAATAAAAGCTTCAAAATTTTTAGCAGCTTAATAACTAACATACAGTATTCTTTTTTGCTCACACAATATTTCTACTAGGATATTCCTAGCTTCCTCCACGTGGTGACTCAGGAGCCCAGACTTTTTCTATCTAATGGCTCTGCTATTTACTAGGGTCTTGGATTCCTCTATTGGGTCTTCTGAATCTAGCTAGCAAACAAAGGAAGAAATAAATGGTACAAGATTGGCAGAAGTTATTTTTAGAAGCCACGCCTTAAAGTGGCATATTTTACTTTTGTTTATTTATGACTGGAAGATGAACTCTAGTTGTGTGGTCAGGAGGAAGAAAAAAATGAGGCTTAGTGAACAGATACACAGATCATATGTTGGAGGGGAAATATCATGGGCTTTGGATACAACAGGCCTGGATTTAAATCTCAGCTCCTCTAGTAATATAATAGACAACATGTTAGAATTCAAATAATCAACATTGAACAAACACTAATTGGGAATCTATTAGTTCTTGGCATTGTCTTATGTGCAGATAATATAGAGACAAAAAAAAATTCTCTCCATGGGAGAAGAGCAACAGTCTAGTAGGGAAGTGCACAGTTCTCTCCTCTCTGAGTGGAAGGACATTGCAATGTGGTGAGGAAAGTGCAGCCATAGATGTCTGTGTCAAGATACCCTGGGAGCGCAGATATGCCTGTGATTAATCCAATGAGAGATGGAAAGAAGGACCCTGAAGAACTTCTATGAGGGGGTTTCTTATTTACTTGGACTTTAAGGACAAATAGCCACCCTTCAGGAAAGTAGTGTTTGAGGGAGGACATTTCCTTTGAAATAAAATCATGGACAAGTCCCGAGAGGTGAAAAGATCATGCTCAGGAAACTCTGAATAAAAGAGAAATCACAGGAAAAGCCATAAACATGAGTCAGCCAGGTCTCAAACAATAAATATTCCAAAACATTCACCTTTGAGCAGATGAGTCATTTTTCCTCCAGGATCATGGGGATAATATGCATTCAGGGAAGGAGGAAACACAGCCACAAATGAGGTCAAGGATGACAGAGAAGAAAACATGTGGCCTTCTTGGATAAGTTACTACAGCCTTCTCTCATAAATTAATAATGTTGGGGCCTTGCCAAGAAATGTCATCATTGGTTTTTAAGTAATAAATGACTTAGGATTTCTCTGGTATATGAAATGTAAATGGGACTATCCATACAGGCAAGAAAGAGGTTGGGGTGAATTTGCAAGGTAAGCAGTGCAGGTGGGTGTACCTAAAAGCCTCACGAACTCTTTTTCATGTGAGTAATAGAAATATCCTGTTAATAAATGCCAACTTCAAATGGTGCACATATAAAACAAGTGTGTATGCATATATAGGTATATATATTTAAAATTCAGGTCAAGTTGAATTTCCATGGACTATATTCCATATGTGGTAATTCCATACTTAACTTTTTAAGAAGCCACCATACTCGCTCGATACGTGTAATTAAGCAACATGTTAGGCTGGGCACGGTGGCTCATGCCTGTAATCCCAGCAATTTGGGAGACTGAGGCATGTGGATTGCTTGAGCCCAGGAGTTTGAGACCATCCTGGGCAACATGGTGAAACCCTGTCTCTACAAAAATTACAAAAATTAGCCGGGCATGATGGCACTTGCCTGTAGTCCCAGCTAGTTGGGAGACTGAGGTGGGGGGATCGCTTGAGCCCAGGAGGTGGAGGTTGCAGTGAGCTGAATGCTGCCTGATTTTCATCCTCAAAAGAGGACTCTTGTTTGACATAGGCTGAGTCCCAAGGCAAGTTGAAGTTAGTACCTTTGTTAGTAGGTTAGTGATATATAGCTACCACTAGAAAAGGTTTTTCTGATCTTATTTTGATGTAGGCCTTACCACAATGTGTCTTTCTAGACAAATCCATGCATACATCATAATTATAAACCACATTTTTTGGCTTATATGGTGATTATGGAAAACAATAACAGCTCCTGCTTCATTTGCTTTTTCCTTAGCTATGCATCTTGTTGTTTTATTAACCACCTACCAACTCCTTAATTCCCTAAACATTTACAACCTGAATATTTTGCTGAGGTACATCTCCTTTTTTAATAGTAAGACTTGTTGCTAAATGCCATTAGGAAACTTAGTAAATATTGGTCCTCTGAGTGTGGGAACTTATGTAATTACTTATGATGACTTAAAAAAGGACTCTCTCTTGCTTGGTGGCATTACTTTTATAAAACATCATTGCACACTTTGTTGAAAGTCCAGCTACATATGTTCAGCCAAATGTTCTCCTTCAGGTTTATATAATTATCAGTTTCGAGCATCTTTCCACATGGTGAAGTCTCTGGAAATAGGAATACCAGATGAAACCTACCTAAGGAATTTATCTTGGTAAACTCTATTAAAAATTTTTAAGCAGGTTATTTTTTTCATCCTTTACTTTAGACAAAGCCAAAGCAGAGAGTTTGATGAAAGATAAATTGTAAAAATTTATCTTTTTACAATTAGAAGGTTATTAGAAAATACACATTTTTAAACCACTGTGGAAAATGCCATAACGGCATCTTCTGGGAAAAAGACAAATGGAAAATCCATGAAAAATTGATTATTAATAGAGTGTCAAAATTCCCCATTAGAAATGGACACTCTGTCGTCATTTTTTACAATATATTCCTAATCTTTTCACCCGAGAAATAAATGGTATCCAAGTTCTAGTTTCCATGTGTAATTGGAATTGGGCTGGTTGTGCTTCCTTGTGGTAAAGGAAACCTTTTCTGTGGCATCTTAGTTATATCCAGGTATATTGGTCGCTATGCATGTATGAGCTAATGCATAGTTAGAAGCAAGTCCATAGGCCAAATTAGCATTTGTTAAGTAGGTGCTCAATAGATACAAATAATTTCAAAATATTTCTTGAGAAATAATACAGTTTTCAAAGTTTTCTTCTGAAATAGTCCATTAATTGCATTAATGGGCAATATTCTGAAAATTAGATGGTTTCAGAAAAACCTTAAAAAAATGCAGGTCTGTTTCCCACAATGTGTAAGAGGTTGAGCACGGCAGACAGACTGGGAGTTGGCTTCCCAATCCTTAAGCCAATGCCTTTTTTTTTTTCTCCTTGTACATGCTCTTTGCCTTTTAGCGTCACTAATAATGAAGAAAAAATTGGGTGTTTTATTTTCCTGAAAGACTCATATTTTTTTTTCTGAATACATCTTACTCCATGCCTGCTGCGATAACAAAATACCTTAGATAAGGTAATTTTTAAACAACAGAATTTATTGCTCACAGTTCTGGAGGCTGGGAAATCCACGAACAAGGTACTGGCAGGTTTGGTGTCTAGTGAGAGCTCATTCTCTGTTTCATTAGTGGCACTTTATTGCTGTGTCCTCTCATGGCAGAAGGGCAAGGCAGCTCCCTTCAACCTCTTTCATAAAAGCACTAATTCTATTCATGAGGGCAAAGCCCTCATGACTTAATCACCTCCTAAAGACTGTACCTCCTAATCACCTCCTACAGGCTGTATTATCACACTGGGGGTTAATTTCCAACATAGGAATTTTAAGGGACACCCACATGCATACCAGAGCAATGGGCAAACTACAATATACTTTTAGAAGAGGATTTAAGAGATACAATCAATGAACATATCCATTCATTTACAAATATTTGTCAAACACCAAATATATTCCAGGATCTGTGTAATACACTGAGGGTAAAATGCTGTTCTAAAAGAATATGATGCCTGCTCTCTGAAACCTTAAAGAGTAATGGAAAGAAAAGTTAATAAATGAATCATGTTAATGTATGTATAATTAAAATTAGAACAATTCTCTGAAGAGAGGGAATACAGTTCATTGCAAGTGTTTGACAATGGAAGTTGATCAGGCTTGGGCAGTCAGGATAATTTCCCCAAGGTTTGATACGTGTCCTAATATCCAAAAGAAGAGTTGGATTTAACTAGGTGAAGAGAGGTAGCATGAGGGCAAGGTAGGGAAAATAAGATGTGAAATGTAAGCCCTGTGTGTGTTAGAGAAACCGGTCAGGTATTGTGGGATCAGAAGGTGTCTTTTCTTGCATTGTTTTAAGTGAACCAAGTTGAGCGTGCTTATAATGTGAAAAATGGACCCAGTAAGGGGAAGAGGTTGAACACACAGGAAAGGGGAAGAGAAATAGTTGGGGAAGCTCTCGAAGGAGAGGGAAGGGAAAGTTGTGGGATGCCTGAGATGATGAGTAAAGTAGATAATTAATGGGGAAGAGACATACCTCTTACTCTGAGCATGGATGACAAAAAGATGGTTGAGACTTCACTAAGTATTCAGTGGTATCTAAGGCAAGACCATCTGCTGAGAAGGAGGAGATTAGGGTTAGATTGGGAGCTTGCAGTGAACGGTAAGTGAATACATAAGAAAGAAGGACAAAGAAATTGAGAAATTGTTTATTAGGGCCTATGAAATCAAACACATGCTCTAGAGAATTGAACTTGTTAGAGAGAAATGATATGCCAAGTAGTAAACCATAGTGTCCCGTATGGCAGGGAAGGACTTGAGGCCAGGAAGGATCAATGGATGAGTCAAGGGCTGGCAGGGTAAGAACTTGTCAGAGAGTAGTATTTTGGGGTTAATGTTAGAGTTGACAAGGTTCAAAGTAGGGTGATGGGAGGGATTTACTAAAGTGTATTGAATCCACTGGAATTGAGGAGGTTAGACAGTTACTGAAGCATACTGAAGCCCCTGGAATTGAGGACTCCAGAGCTCTTTGAAGGTAGAACCTTTATAAAAGACTTTTTTTTTCACAAAAAGGTAAAAAAAGTAACATAAAGGCTGAGAATCACACAGTTGTACAATAATTAGATGATGCATTAATAATAGTTCTTCAAAGTAGCAGATGGCAAAAACTTCCCTTTCATTTTTATTTAATTTGTTTCCTTATTATTGAAATAGCCAGATGAAATCATTTGTGTGTTGTATGTTGCATTCCAGTATTAAAATTTAAACTATTAACATCATGGGAGGGAATGATGGAATAATAAACAGACTATAAAATAAAATTGAATGTTTGCACAGTGATTTATGCCACATAAAACTAATATACTTTGTAATTTTTCTAGAATCCTTATTGGTATAATCTGAGCCAGTGACCAAAACACACTATAACATGAAACATGCTTAATGAAAACTATGATAATCTCAATGTTGACATCAACAAAACATTAAATTCAAATAATATAATTATGAATCAGGAACATAGTGAAATATGCTGGATATCAAATGTGCTAACATCATGCTGTCGAAAGAAGAAAGAGAAGGTAAAGTCCAGGGTGATATAATCTAAAAGAATATTCAGTGTAATGTGCTTAGATGAAAAGAGGAGGGAAACAATGGAAGAAAATAGTTATCTCTTCTCCTTATCAGTCTGTGTTCTACTGGGAAAGAAAAGCTGAGGCTCCTCATTAAGTTGTAACCCGACTGGTTTACTATTCTGTTACTTGGTGATCTTCAGAAGATTTTGGCCAATATAAGTTGATAACTTCCCATAATAAAATATGCTATATTTCCTTTTTTTCTTCATTGGACACTTAAAAAAACATGTATTTTTATTAGTTTTCTTTTCTACCAAATCCAGTTAAAAGCAAAGAGCAGTAATCATATCTGAATGAGCACAAATGTACTTGCCAGTTGCTTTCCTCTGTGGCAACACTGTTGCTTGGGAAGGTGTCAGTGCTTTTATTATTGTTGCTGTTATTTTATCTTACTAATGATTTAATCACCCTCTTCAAAAAGTGTGAATTTCTTAGAGGATTTTCTTTGCCTAACTACTGTGCTTGGTGATGCAAAACGTGTATAACTTAGATAACTTTTTCTTTTTTACTATGAAAATGTTTTAATACAGGTGAGCACACAAGAAGTGCACACACAGAGAGACATAGCTTTCATAGAACACACTGGGAGTGAATAAAGAATTCGTATCACTTCTATCTAACAGAAGGCTCTACTAGGCCACCTCCTCCTGGGCCCACTCCTCAAACTCTCCCTCCTCCTGGTACTGTTGGTACTCAAACATCAGGTTGTTCCTGTTGCTCTCGGCCTCAGTGAATTCCATCTCATCCATGTCCTCACCCATACACCAGGGCAAGAAGGCCTTGTGCCTGAACACGGCAGTGAACTGCTTTGAAATGTGCCTGAACAGCTCCTGGATGGCCATGTTGTTGCCAGTGAAGGCAGCAGACATTTTTAGCCCTGGAGGTGGGATGTCACAGAAAGCTGTTTTCACATTGTGGGGGATCCAGTCAGCAAAGTAGCTGCTGTTCTAGTTTTCGCTGTTAAGCATTTGCTCGTCCACCTCCCTCCGGGACATGTGGCCCCTGAAAATGGCAGCTGCCATTAGGTAGCAGCCTTGCAGGGGTCGCACCGGCAGTCATCATAGTCTTGGCATCAAACGTCTGCTGGGTGAGCTCAGCCACCATCAAGGCCCGGTACTGCTGGCTGCCCCGGCTGGTCAGCAGGATAAAGCCAGGCATGAAGAAGTGCAGGTGGGGGAATGGGACCATGTTTATGGCCAGTTTCCCAAGGTCAGCATTCAGCTGGCCTGGGAAGTGCAGGCAGGTGGTGACCCCACTCATGGTGGCAGATACCAGGTGGTTCAGGTCACCATAGTTGGGTGTGGGCAACTTTAGGGTTCTGAAGCAGATGTCATAGAGAGCTTCATTATCAATGCAAAAGGTCTCACCTGCATTTTCTATGAGCTGGTAGACTGAGAAAGTGGTGTTGTAGGGCTCCACCACTGTGTCGGACACCATGTACATGAAGAAACTGCCAGCCACCTTTACACTAGGTGCACAGAATAAATCAAACCAACTTTTCTTCTTCAGAGAAGAGTCACTTGAGTGCCCCACTAAGTTCTGAAACATATGGTAATTAGGCCCCCATGGCCCTGGAGGAAGTGTGTAACAAAAACTTTTTGTGGCTTCAAAGTTTCTTCTCTTCAGATCCCACTGTCTGCTGACAGGGCCAGCCTTAGGGTGTGAGAACAGTGCAGTCACACAGGATCCCCAGCTCAGAAGGGCCCCATAACTGGGCTTAATGCTCAGCAGTTGCTGTCATGACATTCCTTGTAGTTTTATTTTAGAATTTGTATTTTCATAAGTGAAGTCCGATGGAAAAATGGAGCATGTGCCAGGGACATGGAGCCTCAGCTCCCTCTCGGTCCCCCTCCTCCCACTTCCCCAGGATGGGTTCATGGCTACCTGCTTCCTATGCCCTCACACCCTGGCCTCACCCTGCCTCTTCCTCTCTGCTTGTACCCCATTAACTGATGTGCCTTCTGCTTGAGGTGGTCACCTCAAGGGTGTTGGGGTTGAGATGGGCAGCATTCTGCCATTGCCTTTTTCCCCTAGTGGGGGCTTGAACACCGATATGGGAGGTTCAGGGTCGATGTGTGCCCCACAGCATCTCAGGGCAGGGCGAGGTGGTGGCTGTCCCTGCCCCAGGCTGGTAACTCCACGGTACATTTGGTGAGTGAGTTGGCAGGAAAGTCTTTGGCCCACCATATCCAGACACTGAATGCATGGCATGGAGGTTCCCATTCCGTGGTGGTTGCCCATCCACTCTGGGTTGGGACAGTGGGACCATGGAACTGTGGGAAGAGGCGAATGACCTTTCCGCCCCTGAGTAGGGCACAGCCTGTCAGTTTGGTGGATGCAGAGAGGTCGTGGGCTACATGCATAGGGTCACAGGCAGGGCTCCTGGGCACCTGTGAAGATCTGTACTTGCCCTGCAAGTATTCCCATGCCTGAGGGAGCATAACTTTAAATAGCAAATAAAAATCACCATGACAGGAGAAGAGAGAGAGACTGTGGAAGAAAGGAAAACATTTAATATAGTAGTACTTTTACTGGCACTCTTTTCCTGACTTTTGAACAAAAGGTCCTGAATTTCCATTTGCATTGGGCTTTGCAAATTATGTGGCTGGTCTTGTCTGCAGAGCTTGTTACTGGGTGGTTGGGGGTCAGTGAGCCTTTTGGGAGGAAAGGTCCTGGAGACTTCTCTGATGGACAAAAGTGTCCTTGACTCACATCTAGTGGCAGGTAAGGGCCACAGATCTACATAGGAAAACCTGTGAGAAAAGGTGGACCCTGGATTTTTGCTCTTGCACAGCCATCAGGGCCTAGAACAGGCACCATACATTCAATTGGCTGTGGCAAGTAACAACCAGCATCAGGGAATGTGGAGTGGAGGGCACTGCAGCGAAGTGCTTGCCTTGAGCAATCTGATATGGAGGAGGTGAGAGATGCTATTGCGATTCAGCCCCAGATGGTGTTGCTGTGCCGGATAGGAGCTCAGTACTGCAGTATTATCCAAGAGAAACTGGAGATACAGCTTGTTTGGGTGAAAAATTTTTATAAATTAAAAAAAAATTTTTTTAATGAGACAGTCTGGCTCTGTCACCTAGGCTGGGGTACAGTGGTGTGATCTTGGCTCACTGCCACCTCTGCCTCCTGGGTTCAAGTGATTCTCCTGCCTCAGCCTCTTGAGTAGCTGGGATTACAGGCACACGCCACCATGCCCAACTAAATTTTTGTATTTTTATTAGAGAGGAGGTTTCACCATGTTGGCCAGGCTGGTCTCAAACTCCTGACCACAAGTGATCTGCCCACCATGGCTTCCCAAAATACTGGGATTACAGGCGTGAGCCACTGTGCCCGACCTGTGTGAAAATTTTTATATGAAATTTCAAACACAGTATGGATAAACAAAATATTTCAAGGAGACATATTTGAACTGGGGCCCCTTTGTTTGCAGGTCATGGGGTAAGTTGGTTCTGACATAATATGTTACCAGGGCTGTAAACCCCTCTAGACTCAGCCACCCTAGCCTGATTTTCATGCTTTGAGAAGAAAACTGGACATCTGAGTAGGAGATTGAAGAGCCCTGATTTACACTCAAGTGTGCAGTTATACAGGGTCTGGGTCTGTAAAGGATTTTGCTGAGGATAGACATGCCACCGCCATCAGATTGTGAATGTATATTAGGTTTCAACAACGACATCTAGTGGCAATGAAAGAAACAACAGCCTTGCTGAGCCCAGGAAGTTTTCTCCATCAGCCAGGAGTTTAGAGTGAGTAAGCCACTGGACTCAAGAGTGGGAAAGGGTAGGTCTCAAGAGAGAGATAATGGATTTTCTATTAATACAGACAAGTGGGGGAGAGGGTGATTCCATGGAAATATACAAGATATGACCAAACATGCATTCCAAGCCAGTTATATGGGCCATTCTAGTTACATTACTACTGAATTGTTTTGATTAAATGCCACAGAAGTTAAAATAGCAAACTTTCATTTAAGTTTTCCTCTTATTTATGGAAATTCAATAGGACTATTTCAGGAAGGCTTAATATTAGTATCAATTTTTAGTAAATGTTTTATGACTTTATAGTCAGATATTGACCAGTAATAATATCATTTAATATATCTTACACATGATCTTAGTCAAAAGGCAAAGAAGTGATATATGTGTTCAATATATAATAAGCAATAAATAATTACTGAGTCTGGCACAGTTCTAGGCTAAGTATATGTATTAGGTGTCTTATTTGACATTTAAATTCATCATAATATTTCTTGTGTTTTAACTTGAGGGAATGCAAAGAAATAAAAATATGAGATTCTCCCTTAGGTATTCATGTGCTGTATAAATATTTATTGAGTATGCACCACGTACCAGATTAGATGCCGGGATACAATAGCAAGTAAGATGTTTATACTTGCTATTTTCATGGAGCTTACAATCTAGTATGGTAAGTGGTATTAGGCAAACCCTTAGCACAAATAATTAACATCAATTGTGTTAAGTGCTATGAAGGAGAAGCATACAGGGAACTGGAAGCAGGTTTGGGGGTCAAGGCTCAGCAATCGAAGTAGACAGTAATTAGCAATGAGGCTGAAAAGGAAGTTGAGACTAAATCATGTAAGGCCTTGAAGGTTGTATCCAGGATTTAGCTTCTTATTCCAAAAACAATGTACGGACATTGAAGGATTTTAAGCAGTTAAGTGCCATAATCAGATATTAAAAAAAAAAAAAACCCACTCTGGCTTCAGTGAGTAAAACAGATCATACCTACATGAGAAAATCAACACGAGAAGCATTGCTTGAACATATAGGACTTTTGGAATTAACTATAGAACTAGGCACATCAGGAAGCAATGTTCAAGTAAAATTACTGCTTTGTGTGTATTATGGGATAAAATAAGAGGTCTATGTTGGGTGTTTCATTTTATCAGATAAAATTTTAATTTTTTTTTATCATGAAGGAGTCAAAGGAGTAATTTCCTGTCCTTCTTTTTGCAGTGTTATTAATGTCAGAAGCTGACAGATTAAAAAATGATGTTCTACATGGACAAAGCCTGGCATATTTGTAACTTTCAATATGTAGCTATGATAAACTGCATTAATAGCTAAGGAAATGAGTTTGGATTTAAAGGATACTTTTTTCTTGGATTGGATTTTGGTTGGAAAAAAGGATCTTAGGTAAGAAGGATTTTTTTTTCCCATTTACTGGGGGAACCAGCCCCAGTATTTCAACATAGGTTCTTTTCTATTTTCCCTAAGTGTTGGCTGGTCTGAGAAATAAAGAGAAAGAGTACAAAGAGAGGAATTTTACAGCTGGGCCTCTGGGGATGACATCACATATTGGTAGGACCGTGATGATGACCCCGAGCCACAAAACCAGCAAGTTTTTATTAGGGATTTTAAAAGGGGAGGGGGTGTATGAACAGGGAGTAGGTCACAAGGATCACATACTTCAAAGGGCAATAAAGATCACAAGGCAAAGGCAAAATTAGAAATACTGATGAGGGTCTATGTCCTGCCATGCACGTATTGTCTTGATAAACATCTTAACAGGAAACAGAGTTTGAGAGCAGATAACTGGTCTGACTAGAATTTACCAGGCTGGAATTTCCCAATCCTAGTAAGCCTGAGGGCACTGCAGGAGACCAGAGCGTATTTCAGTCATTATTTCAACTGCATAAGACAGACACTCCCAGAGCGGCTGTTCATAGACCTCCCCCAAGGAATGCATTCCTTCCCCAGGGTTATTACTTGCTGGGAAAAGAATTCAGTGATATTTCTCTTATTCGCACGTCCGTTTATAGGCTCCCTGCAAGAAGAAAAATAGGGCTGTATTCTGCCCAACCCTGCAGGCAGTCAGACCTTATGGTTGTCTTCCCTTGTTCCCTGAAAATCACTGTTATTCTGTTTTTTTTTTAAGGTGCACTGATTTCATATTGTTCAAACACACATATTTTACAATCAATTTGTACAATAGTGATCCTCAGGTGACGTACATTCTCAGCTTACAAAGATAATGGGATTAAGAGATTAAAGACAGGCATAAGAAATTACAAGAGTATTAATTTTGGGAAGTGATAAATGTTCATGAAATCTTCACAATTTATGTTCTTCTGCCTCAGCTCCAGCTGGTCCCTCTGTTCAGGGTCCCTGACTTCCCACAACACCCTTCATAGTGATATGATTTGGCTCTGTGTCCCCACCCAATCTCATCTCGAATTGTAATCCCCATGTGTTGAGGGAGGGACCTGTAATCCCCACGTGTGGAGGGAGGGAGGTGATTGGATCATGGGGGTGGTTTCCCCCATGCTGTTCTCATGATAGTGAGTGAGTGCTCACGAGATCTGATGGTTTTATAAGTGTTTGGAAGTTCCTCCTTCATTCTTCTTTCTCCTGCTGCCTTGTAAAGAAGTTGCTTGCTTCCCCTTCAGCTTCTGCCATGATTGTAAGTTTCCGGAGACCTCTGCAGCCATGTGGAACTGTGAGTCAATTAAACCTCTTTCCTTTATAAATTACCCAGTCTTGGATATTTCTTTATAGCAGTGTGAAAATAGACTAATACACATAGATATGGTAGGCTTTTTAGAGAAAGATTCATAGTATATGAAGTAATAGATATTATTACCACTAGTTCTACTAGTACTGATTATGTGCTGAAATTTTATTGTAAACTCTCTCTGCACACCCAACCACACACAAACACGTATTTATTTCATTTATTCCTCACAAAAACCCAATGCTGTATGTACTATTATTATGTTCTTTTTAAAGATAAGGAGACTGAAGCACAAATAAGTTAATTACTTTATCAAAAATCACATAGCTTATTGATAATGTGGCCAGAATATAAAACAATATTTGATTCTAGAATGACTGTTCATAACTATTACTTTATATTGCCTTCCAAGATTGAAACTAAAATTTTCAATTATGGAAAAAATAATACATCTATCCAGTAAACATATCACCAAAGTTATCCTTCTTTAGGAAAATTAAATAAATATAGAGTAATAATCCCAATTGTACAAATTTCAGAAATGTTTATTTGAACTGTAATAGAATGCTTCAATTTTAAGAAGAATGCCCTATTATTAGGTATACATTTTGCAATTACTTTTCCAGAATATTTAAAGTAATTTGATTTACAAGAAACTTTTATGAGTGTACCCATTACTTAATGTCAAGAAATGGTAAAATTAAGTGAAAGTTTTCCTCTTGACATTCCTTATTTTTGCTTTCTTTATTCTACTTTATTCTATTTTCCTTTTTGGCACCCTTTGAGTATTAAATAATAAAAGAAGAAAGAAGAGGAGGAGGAGGAGAAAGAGAAGGGAAAGGAAAGAGGAAAGTGGGTGGGCGGGCAAAGAATACAAGTTGGATATATTGCAGATAATTTTTAAGTGTATATTTTTGAAATAAAACTATCTAGTTCTCTGATTTTTTTTCTCATGGTCCACAAAACTGTTCATTTAGTTACAAATTAATTTGTCATTGTTTTTACTTTTTAGGGAAGTATACAATTACCTTTTTATTGTTCGTAAATTTTTGAGGTTAGTGTTATTTGTTTCCAATCCTTGTTTCTCTGATTTTATTTCAATTTTAAACAATCCTTTCATCAACAATACACATCTTTTAAGATACCTATTTGAAATATAAGAATATGTTTATGATACCAATACATGTATGTAGTATACATAAAAATCATTACCTTAAATATACATTAATTTATCTCATTTCCAAAGAAATGAAATTTCATGTTAATTTCACTACTTTAATTTCTTTTTGGAAACAATATATAGATGCCAGTTTACTATCTCCACCTTTTTCTCTCTTAAAAATTATTATAAAATATAAGACACATTCAGAATTGCACTTAAAGCGTAAATACACAGCTTAATAAACTATTTTAAAACAAATAACCACAATCCACATTTTAAAAAATGCTGCTCCAGCTTCCCCAAAGCCCATCTGGGGCTCGCTGAAAGCTCTTTCTTAATTACCAACCTCACTAAAGGTACTCACTGGCTTGACTTTTTCAAGAGTATTTTTAAAAATTGACATATACCTTGCACAATATAAAATTCACCAGTTTAAAGTGTACACTTTATGGTTTTTAGTGGATTCACCAAGTTGTGCAACTATCACCATTAGTTAATTCTAGAACTTTTCAATTCCCTCCTTCCCCCAGATCCTGTATTTATTAGCAGTTTGTCCCAAATTCTCTCTTTCCATAATTTCCTTTCTGTGTCAGGATTTGCCCATTCTGGACATTTCCTATAAGTGGAATCACATGTGGTCTTTTGTGTCTGGTTTCTTTCACTTAGCATTATATTTTCTTTATTTTTTAATTTCATTATTATACTTTAAGTTCTAGGGTACATGTGCACAATGCGCAGGTTTGTTACATATGTATACATGTGCCATGTTGGTGTGCTGCACCCATTAACTTGTCATATACATTAGGTATATCTCCTAATGCTATCCCTCCCCCCTCCCCCCACCCCATGATAGGCCCCGGTGTGTGGTGTTCCCCTTACTATGTCCAAGTGTTCTCATTGTTCAATTCCCACCTATGAGTGAGAACATGTGGTGTTTGGTTTTCTGTCCTTGGGATAGTTTGCTGAGAATGATGGTTTCCAGCTTCATCCACGTCCCTGCAAAGGACATAAACTCATCTTTTTTATGGCTGCGTGGTATTCCATGGTGTATATGTGCCACATTTTCTTAATCCAGTCTATCATTGATGGGCATTTGGGTTGGTTCCAAGTCCTTGCTATTGTGAATAGTGCCGAAATAAACATACGTGTGCATGTGTCTTTATAGCAGCATGATTTATAATCCTTTGGGTATATATCCAGTAATGGGATGGCTGGGTCAAATGGTAATTCTAGTTCTAGATCCCTGAGGAATCGCCACACTGTCTTCCACAATGGTTGAACTAGTTCACAGTCCCACCAACAGTGTAAAAGTGTTCCTATTTCTCCACATCCTCTCCAGCACCTGTTGTTTCCTGACTTTTAAATGATCGCCATTCTAACTGGTATGAGATGGTATCTCATTGTGGTTTTGATTTGCATTTCTCTGATGGCCAGTGATGATGAGCATTTTTTCATGTGTTTTTTGGCTGCATAAATGTCTTCTTTTGAGAAGTGTCTGTTCATATCCTTTGCCCACTTTTTGATGGGGTTGTTTGACTTTTTCTTGTAAATTTGCTTAAGTTCTTTGTAGATTCTGGATATTAGCCCTTTGTCAGATGGGTAGATTGCAAAAATTTTCTCCCATTCTGTAGGTTGCCTGTTCACTCTGATGGTAGTTTCTTTTGATGTGCAGAAACTCTTTAGTTTAATTAGCTTCCATTTGTCAATTTTGGCCTTTGCTGCTATTGCTTTTGGTGTTTTAGACATGAAGTCCTTGCCCATGCCTATGTCCTGAATGGTATTGCCTAGGTTTCACTTAGCATTATATTTTCAAGATTCATCCATGTTGTAGCATATGTCAATACTTTATTCCTTTTTATAGCTGAGTAAGTATTTCATGTTATGAATATACTACATTTTGTTTAACTATTCTTCAGTTGATGGATGTTTAGGTTGTTTGCACTATTTGGGTATTATGAATAATAGTGCTATGAACAATTGTGTACAAGTTTTTGTTTGATCATATTTTCAGTTTTCTCAGGTACATTCTTGGGAGTGGAATTGCTGGGTCATGGTAATTATGTTTCACTTTTTGAGTAACTGCCCAAGTATTTTCCACACTGGTTGCATCATTTTGCATTCCTTCCAGAAATTTATGAAAGTTACAATTTCTCCACCTCCACACTGACATTTGTTATTAATATGTTTTTTTAAAATTATAGCCATTTTAGTGAATGTGAAGTGGTGCTCATTTTCGTTCTGATACGCATTTCCCTAATGACTAAAAATGTTGAGTATTTCTTTTCATGTGGTTATTGGCCATTTGTATATCTTCCCTGGAAAAATGTCTGTTAGAATCCTTTCACCATTTTAAAATTGAGTTGTCTTTATTGTTGAGTTGTAAAAGTTCTTTGTATATTCTGGACACTAGACCTTTATCAGATATATAATTTGCAGCTATTTTCTTCCATTCTGTGTATTGTCTTTTCACTTTCTTGATGCACAAAAGTTTTTAACTTTTTCAAAGTCCAATTTATCATTTTTTTTCTTTGGTTGCTTGTGCTTATTTTTTGTTTTTTTTTTTTGGTATTACAGTGTAGTTTTAATACCAGCTAAATACAAACACAACACAATTGTTAGATATTCAGTTATGTATCCTGTGAAACAACATGCCAAGATCAACCTTGAGATATTTATAAAAACTAAAATTTATAAAATGTCTTCCTCAATTAACTCTAAGGACTCCATATACGAATTCAAAAATCAGACCTTATCAATAATCACATCAAATGCTGAGCACTGATTGAGCAGCAAAAAACCATTTCTAATTTTAAAATTTAATAGCTCCAGGTAAAAGCACGCTATTTCCTATGTATACTGTCTTTGTATTCTGCATAGAGTTCTAAGGTAAAGATTGTTCTGCTTTTATTAATTGCCAGAAATGATGTCCTTTTTGGCTGCTTTGTCATGGATCTTTCATTCTTCTTTCCTGATGGATCCTTAGTTTCTTTAGGAGGGGTTTATGTATTGGTTTTCGTGGAATTGAATTATAAAAGCCTGGTTCTGAATAGGAATTTCCTCTGTAAAAACCTCTATGTTTTCCTTTGGCATAACCATAGCTCTTTGGAGTGAGATGAGTTTTATTTTTAGTATTTTCCAACCATTCCTTAAACCTTTTTCTTGCTATTTCATTTTTCCCCTATAATTCACTTTGCTGTTGCTTGTCTTTTTCCTTTTCACACTCTTTAGCATTTTACAACTATTCTTAATGTTTTTATTTGCTTTTTCTTGCAAATATTCTTTCTCTAGTTCCTTCATTTCTTCATTATTTTGGGGGCCTTTTCTCTTTCTTCTTTTTCTGAACCCACTCCTTATGTTTTTCTTAATAATTTATCTTTCATTTACTACAGGCATGCACCACCATGCCCAGCTAATTTTTTTTTTTTTTTGTATTTTTAGTAGAGACAGGGTTTCACCATGTTGGCCAGGCTGATCTTGAACTCCTGACCTCAGGTGATCTCCTCGCCTCAGCCTCCCAAAGTGCTGGGATTACAGGTATGAGCCATCACGCCCAACTTGACATGTCAAATTTGATGTACAAAAGTCATTCTGCAACAATGTCTAGAAGATGGTTAAAAAATCGCTCTTAGACCTCAAAGAATAAGTCATGTCTAGATTAGGTGGCCATTGTCCATTTTGTCAGCCCTTTCAACATACTCTTTAATTTTTGAATAACCCAAGCAAGTAGGCATAAGAATCAAAGTAAAATCTATCATAGTCTCAACTGCAATAAATCCCCCCAGACTTGTTTCTGATCCATCAGCTATAACATTTCTCAGTCACTAGTTCCCCTAAATTGCTCTGCCTTCTACATGAATGTGGCTGTCATATTCATCTATAGATTATGCTTCTATTTCAGCCTGCTTATCCTCAGCTTTATGCTTTTCAGATGTACAGAAAGGAATCTCTACACCATAAGCTTTGGTAAAAATATGACTCAACCTCAGCTGAGTGTGGTGGCTTATGCCTGTAATCCCAGCACTTTGGGAGGCTGAGGCAGGTGGGTCACCTGAGGTCAGGAGTTCCAGACCAGCCTGGCCAACATGGTGAAACCCCATGTCTACTAAAAATACAAAACTTAGCCGGGCATGGTGGCGGGTGCCTATAATCCCAGCTACTCAGCAGTCTGAGGCAGAATAGCTTGAACCCAGGAGGTGGAGGTTGCAGGGAGCCGAGATTGCACCACCACACTCCAGCCTGGGCAACACAGCGAGACTCCGTTTCAAACAAATATATAACTCAACTTCATAACCTACCCAAGCCAAGCTCCCTGGGAATATAATCTGATTGAGTCAGGTCTCCAGGATCCTACCCAAAGGAATAGATAGTTATTTACCCCTGACATGAAGAGATCAGATAGATAAAACAGAAAAGAGGAAAAGAAAGAACAGAAAAAAGAAGATACCTGACAACAGAACCTTGGGCAACATCCACATTTTAAGGCAGGCACAGAATAAGAAGCAATGAAAGGAGGTGAGTAGTAGCATCAGAAACACTAAGTGGAGCATAAGAAGGCAACACAAATATTAATAACAGAATAATTATTCAACTAATTGTGGCATATTTTTTCAAATGGAAATGCCATAGAACAGTAACAACCAATATATACTTAGACCTCCACAACAGCCTAAATGTATCTTAAAGTACAATGTTCAGAACAAAGTCAGATGGTGTGTTTTTTAGGTATGATGCAAAAAGCATAACCAATTGGCTGGGCAGGCCAGATGTGGGTGGCAGGGCAGTGGAGATCTGCTACTCCACCTCCCAACACCCACTTCCCAGCTGATTGCAGGCCCAGGTCTCAGCCCTTCTCAGGTTCCTTCTCAGAAGGCTGAGGTGAGCAGATCACCTGAGTCAGGAGTTCAAGACCAGCGTGGCCAATATGGCAAAACCCTGTCTCTACTAAAAATCCGAAAAAAAAAAAAAATTAGTTGGGCATGGTGGTGCGTGCCTGTAGTCCCACCTACTCGGGATGCTGAGGCAGGAGAATCACTTGAACCTGGGAGATGGTGGTTGCAGTAAGCTGAGATTGCACCACTGCACTCCAGCCTGGGCAACAGAGTGAGACTCCATCTCAAAAAAAAAAATTGATGTGTCAGAAATTGAACTGATCTTCCCCTTCTAACTACTTTTCTTGGGAAAGTATACATAGTGCCACAACTGTTCTCCATATCACAAAGTCCAGAATCTCGGAACCATCTTTGATTCAATCTTCTTGCTTATCATCTATTTTTAATCAATTGCCAAGTCCTATTGGTTTCCTTTCCAAATATCACTCTTAGACATTCTTTCGTAGTTTGGTCTCTCATTTGCACCATTGTAATGACTTTCTTACAGACCTCCCCATGTATAATTTCTGACCCCTTCAATCCATCTTTCACATTGTCACAGAAGAAAACATTGTACCAGTGTACTGTACAGCAGAGAATCTACTAGCTGTATGTCACTATTTAAATTTAAATAAACTATAATTAAATACAATAAAAAATTTTGTTCCTCAGTTACACTAGCCACATTTTAAGTACTCCTGTGGCTAATTAGCGACTATATTGGACAGTGCAAATATAGGACATTGCTATCTTTCCAGAAAGTTCTATTCTGTTTAGAATATAGGCAGATAATAGTGCCTTTACTGTTTTAATAATTTGTTATCTTTCTCTCTAGCTTGTATCAGAAAGTGCAAGTTTCTTGATGTGGAATTTAAAGCCCAAATTATTTTTCTAGCATTGACTTCTTTTTTTTGAGACAAAGTCTTTCTCTGTCACCCAGGCTGGAGTGCAACTGGGCAAACTCAGCTCACTGCAACCTCTGCTTCCTGGGTCCAAGTGACTCTCCTGACTCAGCTTCCTGAGTAGCTGGGACTACAGATGCTCACCACCATGCCCAGCTAATTTTTGTATTTTTAGTAGAGACAGGGTTTCGCCATGTTGGCCAGGCTGGTCTTGAACCCTTGACCTCAGGTTACCAGCCTCTGGTAACCATCGTTCTACTCTCTATCTCCATTAGTTCAATTGTTTTAATTTTTAGCTCCCATAAATTAGTGAGACCATGCAAAGTTTGTCTTTTTGGGCCTGGCTTATTTCACTTAATGTCCTGTTCCATCCAGCCTCCCAAAGTGCTGGGATTACAGACATGAGCCACCGTGCCGAGCCTAGCATTGACTTCTAAAACTAGCTATAGTGGTCTATTTCCCTATTTCTCAAGCATTCCAGGCAATTTTGTGCCTCTGTGTTTTTGATATACTCTCTCTCTGTCTCTTTTTTTTGGCTGGGATGCTATCTTAGTTCCCCCTTTCTCACTCTTTGTATGTTTAAATCCTCCTCACTATCGGTACCCTGCTCAAATGATATTTCCTCCTAGGAATCTTAGCCCACCAGAATTATTAGCTTCTTTCTTCACTTTCTACATATTGTTACTTGTACTTCTATTTGGCACTTATGCCAGTCTCTCTTGTGTTATAATTATTTGTTTATCATCCATCTCTCCCATTAGATGGAAGTATATCTTGTTTAAGGCAGGAATGCTTCTAATTTATTTTTCCATGCTCAAAATGTTTAGTAGAGAGTCTTGGACACCTGAAGTATCTCAATAAATTGGTTCAATTGAATTAAAGTGATGGTTGTCGTGGACTATGATTAGGTCTGTTCAGAGAAATGCCCTAGGAAGGAATAATTAGAAAGTTCTTATGTTTTACAACAAAGATGAAGGTAAGGAAATGTTGCAAAACATAGGGCACAGAAAAGGGAGGTGATTCAACTACTGGTGCAAAAGGATTTCAGAACCTGGAGCCCAGACACTGCATTGGTGACAGGGCATTTTGGGCAGCAGCCTTAATATCTTTTGGGGAAGTGCCTGGGCATTGACTTGGCTCTTCTGCGGGGTAAAATCACAGGATTGACTTCTTCAGGCCCCTTGGACCTTGGGCCCAGCTCATCTTTCTCAGGCTGTGATCACGGTGATCACTTTGGGAATCATTGTGATCCCAATATAAACATTGTGATGTTCTTGCTGTGAAGAACAGAAGAGGACAATGCAAGACTAAATGTTCTCAGATTTATCTTTTTTTCTATGCTCTTCTCATATATTTTTTGATGCTAAGTGTGACTTTCAAATATAACTAATCTGTTTTTTCCCACTAATTTTACTTTCACTATCAATAAACCCAGCTCTGATCTTCTTGGATCAGGGGATCAGGAGCTAAGACAGTAGCAGAAGCAATGCAGGCAAAAATAATGCATGCAATTAATTATGTCAATTTCCTAATTATGAACTTGGTCTTAGTGGTCTTAGTGTTCTTTTTAAAGCAGCACATGTTAAACTGTGGCCTATAAACATGAGTGACAGAGAATACAAGAAATCTTGAAACTGAATAATTACATGTGCATTTTAAAAATTTATTTTTTATTTTTATGAGTACATAGTAGGTATATATATTTAAGGGGTACATGAGATATTTTGAGGCATACAATGCATAATAATTACATCAGGTTAAATGGAGTATTCATGACCCCAAGCATTTATCATTTCCTTGTGTTACAAGCATTCCAGTTATACTCTTTTAGTTGTTTTAAAATGTACAATAAATTATTGTTGACTGTATGTCACCCTGCTGTGCTATCAAATACTAGCTCTTATTCATTCTAACTATACCTTGGTACCCTTTAACCATCCCCACTTCTTCCCCACCCCTACTACTCTTCCTAGCCTCTGGTAACCATCATTCTACTCTCTATCTCCATTAGTTCAATTGTTTTAATTTTTAGCTCCCACAAATCAGTGAGACCATGCAAAATTTGTCTTTTTGGGCCTGGCTTATTTCACTTAACATAATGTCCTGTTCCATCCATGTTGCTGAAAATGACAGGATCTTATTCTTTTTAATGGCTGAATAGTGCCCCATTGTGGATATGTACAACATTTCCTTTATCCATTTGTCTGTTGGTGGATACTTAGGTTGCTTCCAAATCTTGGCTATTGGCAATTTCCGTATGTTGAACCAGCCTTACATCCCTGGGATAAATCCTATTTGGGCATGATGAATGATCTTTTTAATGTGTTGTTGAATTTGGTTTGCTAGTATTTTGTTGAGGATTTTTACATCAATGTTCATCTGGGATATTGGCCTGTAGTTTGCTTTTTTTTTGTTTTTTTTGATGTGTCTTTGTCCGGTTTTGCTATCAGGGTAATATTGGCTGTGTAGAATGAGTTTGGAAGTATTCCTTCCTCCTCTATTTTTTGGAATAATTTGAATACAAGTCGTATTAGTTCTTCTTTAAATGTGTGGTAAAATTCAGCAGTGAAGCCATCAGGCCCAGGCTTTTCTTTGCTGGGATATTCTTTATTATGGCTTTGATCTCATTACTTATTAGTGGCTAATTCAGGTTTTGAATTTCTTTATGGTTTAGTCTTGATAGGTTGTATGTATCCAGGAATTTATCCATTTCTTCTAGGTTTTACAGTTTATGAGTAACTAGTATATACTATGATCGATGATCATAGCAGCCACTAATGATCCTTGGAATTTCTGTGGTATCAGTTGTAGTTTCTCATTTTTTCATCTCTGATTTTATTTATTTGGGTCATCTCTCTTTTTTTCCTGGTCTGTCTAAAGGTTTGTTGATTTTTTTTTATTTTTTCAAAAAACCAACTATTTGTTTCGTTGATCTTTTGTTTTTTTGCCTCAATTTCATTTATTTCTGCTCTGATATTTATTTCTTTGACTAATTTTGGGTGTGCCCTGCCTGCCTGCCTGCCTGCCTGCCTGCCTGCCTGCCTGCCTGCCTGCCTCCCTGCCTCCCTCCCTCCCTCCCTCCCTCCCTCTGTCTTTCTCTCCTTCCGTCTTTCCCTCCCTCTTTCCTTCTTTCCTTTTCAATAAAGGTGATTTTCTCTGGTGGTATGTTTGATTTCTTGATTTTTATTTTTTGTGTATCTGATGTATGTTTTTTTTTATTTGAGGTTACCATGAGGCTAGCAAATGATATCTTATGACTCATTATTTTTAAGCTGGTGACAACACTAATTGCAAAAACAAACAAGCAAACAAAAAACTAATAAAAACTCTACATTTAACTTCATGTTCCTGCTTTTTAATATTTTGTTATTTCTATTTATATATTATTATGCTGTCTATGTCTTGAAAAGCTGTCATAGTTATTATTTTCGATTGGTTCATCTTTTAGTCTTTCTACTCAAGATAAGATTAGTTTACACACCACAATTACAGTGTTATAATATTCTGTGTTTGTCTGTGTACCTACTATTGCCAATGAGTTTTGTACCTTCAGATTATTTCTTATTGCTAATTAATATCCTTTTCTTTTGGATTAAAGAACTCCCTTTGGCATTTCTTGTTGGACAGGTCTGGTGTTGATGGAATCTCTCAGTTTCTCTTTATCTAGGAAAGGCTTTATTTCTCCTTCATGTTTGAAAGATATTTTCACTGGATATACTGTTCAAGGTAAATGTTTTTTTCCTTCAGCATTTTAAATATGCCAGGCTGTGACTAGAAATGTTTTCCAGGAGCTAAGACCTGGAATGGGGGCCTCAAAGCTTTGCCTGGTGCCCCATGTAAGTGTTGCTGAGCTGGTATGCAAGTTGCAAGACAAAGTTCTCTTAACTCTCTCCTCTCTCTCCAGGAGCTGTGAGCTTCATTACCTGTGGTTGGGGGAGGGGTGACAAAAGCACTCCCTTGGCCCCCTTGGCTAGTGTCTCACTAGTTCACATGCTCCCAAGTACACTGTCTCTGAGCCTGGCACAGCCCCAAGACTTGCCCAGGAATTGCAGTCCTTGTGGCCTAAACTGCCTTTCAAGTTTATTTAGAACTCAGAGCACTTTAGCTCCAAGGTGGTGGGGCTAGCTGGAGCTCAGGTTCCGACTACTGGGCTGGACAATTCCCCTCTGGCTAGGGCTGGTCTAAATGCTCCCTCTGTGGGTGCTGGCTGATTTCTGGCTCCTGTTGCTTTCCACTGTGACAGGGCTGCGCTGAGTTTTAATGCAAAGTCCCATGATCACTGTGCTGTCCCTCCCCCAAATGCACAGATTCTCTCTCTGCATTACACAGCTGCCAGGGATGGTGGAGGGATGTTGTAAGTGATTCAAGATTGTCTTTCCTACCTCTTCAGTGCCTCTTTCCTTGATATCATGTTAAACCAGTTACTGTGATCACTCACCTGATTTTTGGTGATATAAAAGTACTTTCTTGTGTGGATAGTTGTTCAATTTCATGTTCCTGCGAGGGTGGGGGACAGTGGTGGGCAATTGCTGGAGGCTTCTGTTCAGCATCTTGCTCTGCCTCCCAGATATGTGCATATTTTGGGAGAAAGGGTTTGCTTTTATTAGAATTGCAAAGGTTTTTGTGAACATAGAGTAAAAAAAATCACATTTAAAAAATATTCAAAATTTTTATTAATTCAATAAATATCTGTGAGAACATAATATGGGACAGACACAGTTTTGAGGCTGGGGTACAACTGTGGAATCAGGTAAAGATTCTTCTTCATCGACCTTATATCCTGATAAGAGTAATATTTCACAAGAAATGTCATGGACATCAGTTAGAGAAAACACAATGAAGCCAAAATACTCAGATTCTAATTTCAGAGATACATGTTACCCAAGAATATACAATGGAAAAGTCAGTCTTGGGGTTCTTATTTATGTAGTGTGGAATATCTGAACGGTGGATCACTTTACACTGGATTTCTCACACATTGTAGACATAACTATGGTGTCTTGAATGATTTGGTTTCCTTATTCTAAATGGTCTTCCAGCTTTGAGAGTCTTTGATACTCTGAGATAATGATAATGCATGTTGGTACAAGGCAGTCCTAGTGTGATTGGGGCCTGATCCTTCAAGAAAGCCCCTTCTCCATTGAGTTCTATTATTTGCTCTCTTCTTTGGCTAGAGTTCTGCTAGTCTAGGTCATCATTAGCTGCCACTGGATGGAGCTATAGCATCAGGCAAATAATCTTTTTATTGATTCCAGCAGTAATTTCCCTGACATTTAGCCCTCAATTTTCTTAGCTATAATAAGTAAAGATTGTTCAGTTCCTGCAATTTTGGGGTTGTAGTATTTTATTACTCACTTGGCTGTATTCCCTGAGTTCTTTTATAGATTCTTAAGATGTATTTTTTAAAGTTAGGTATGTTAATTTTGTTTTGGCAATTTTATGACACCCTGAAATAAAAAAATCCTGGAGTGTTGCAAACCAATACTGGTAATTACTGGAGTAGGTATATTAAATGCTGCTGACATGTGTTTTCTGCAACCTTAATAAGTAATGACATGACTTAAACTTACCTTACACTGGGTGACCATTCAGTGGTTTCCTGTTGTCTTGAGATAAATTGCAGAAATTGTAAATTGAAATATTTCTCAGGTTTCATCAGTTTCTATATACTGAAAACTATATCCAGAAAAATTAGTGTTACGTTCAATATCATATCAGAAAACTTAATTTTTTTTGAAGTTTTATCTATCTTCTATTATCTGCCTTTCTATTCATAATCTATTTTACTACTATACTATATAATCACTCTCTACTAATAGAAAATATTTTATGAAAAAATATTATCTCTCAAATCACCTACTAAATTATTACTTTTTGAATGGCCAATATTGATCTAGAATCAGACTCTTAACCAAAGGCTAATATAACACTAAGACCTATGCATGGTGAATTGTCATTATTATTTCATTTATGCCATCAGTAATGAAAGACTTGAGCCATTTAAATATAACCTTTCTTACCTGTATTGTTGTCCTCTGTAGGTTCATTGCTCTTCTCCATAAGCAAGAACGATGTCTCAGATCGGATGTACCCTTAAAGATTGACTAGCCAATAGAAATGCATATTTTTATATTCATCTGGTTGAACTGAACTGTAAATTCTGTGATCTTGTATTAGAAATGATTACTGCCATTCTATAAAGACCTTTTAAAATGTTGTTTCTAGGCATCCTTTACTTCTCGTTTAATAAATTAGTGATGAATTTCTAATAAAACAGTTCAATTAAAACATTTACACCTTTATATATAATGTTTATTACTTTGTGATTTAAAGACTTATAAAATAACAAAATCAGTTTCATGGAACAAGGCAGACAAGTCCACTACTTCTTCAAGTTGCTCATTTTTCTAGTTGCTTGCTTTTATTATAGGAGATGAAAAGAAACTTCCTGGGTTAAACATTGCTAAGGCACATTAATAATAATGAAACAGAAAATTCCAATTTTAAAAGCACAATAAGAAAATTTAAAAGATGTATCTAAACTATATGTTTGGCTATAATATTAGTTCCCTGGATCGTAGGGTAAAATAAAAACACATCTGCCCAACTGACTAATTCCCTTTTGACTGATTTACTCTTTAGATGCCACAGGTAACATTTGTTGAAAAGACAGTAGAGTATATGGGCAGAACCTGGGTTTTTTGTTGGACATGCCTGACACTGAACTCTAACTCCACCTCTTACTTAATTACTCTAACACTAGACAAGAAAGATCTGAAAAATCTGGAATACCAGCCCAAGAAATTTGTAGTTAACAGGAAATGCCTAAGTAGGAATCACTGATAGATTCTTGAGACAAGATGTCATATGATTAGAATATGTTTCTGTTTGTTCCTCCTTCAGGGATTAAAGCAGAAGCATTTGACTGGCTGGGAACAAGTCATAGGTCCATGTCCAGGCTGCCACAGGGCAGAGAAACCAGTGATTTATTTCCTTTTGCTCTTATAATAAACGGTGAGGACTCTACATCTAGCCAATAATACGTATCTTGGGGAACTACCTTGAAGATAAAAGAGGTTTGTATGCTGGCCATTAAAATGATGAATTAGTTTTTACTTCCTTATGTTCAGGTTCTGTGGCTGATTCATTACGCTCCTGTCACATTGTCCAGCATATGTGATCATTTACATACATTCATTCACTCTGTCATTAATTAATTTATTCATTCATAACTGAATGCCTGATCTATATATACCAAGCGCAGAAGCACAATTCACAGCTCTCAGGGAGCTTAATTTTATTTTGGAGAAATAGATGACAAACAAATGAACACAAAACAAAATAATTTTAGAGAGATATAAATAAGAGAATAATGCAATAGGTAGAGATAGAGAGTGATGGGGAGGTGGTCAGAGAATGCCTTTCTTATGTGTGTTTTTAACTAAAAAATTTAAACAATATTTATTGAACCAATGCATGGGCTGGAGGATTGACTACAGAGAAAAGAGAACCATAAGGAAATTGTAATAATCTAGGCAAGGAATCCTGAGGCTTTGTGCTTTCTGAGTATGATGTGCTGGTGTTTCTCTGTTTGCCCCTAAAGGTCTGTTCTTTGCCCTTTTGAATTCTGTGGGCCACATCACTTGAGCTCCATTGTCTCTGGCTTTCAGCTGGACTTGGTCAATGGAAACAAAACCAGAAGAATGAAGGGTAGGAGAAGAAAGAGGCTGGAGTATTTATTCCTCATGGCCTATCACCTACACTTCTGGGCCTTGGTTTTGGCAGTGGCTGCCTTCCTTCTTCTTGCAGTCACAGCACCAATGAGGTGGGCCCTCGCCCTGGGATACAGCTCTCTTTGCGTTTCAGTAACACAACTGCCTAATCTTGCTCCTTCAGGCCTCTAGGTGGTAACTGCTTCCTGTGGTTATGACTTCCTGCATGTTTCATTATTCCTTACACCTCTGTAGATAATTTTTTCATCCACCTCTTAGGAGTTAATCGTTTAGGTGTGCATCTGTTTTTTGGAACTGTGACTGATACAGATAAGCAGATGGAAAATAAGTGGTAGATGTGAGAGACAGTGCAGTGGTAGCTGTAGGGTTTGGCATCTGGCTTGGTGTGATGGGGTAGGAAAGGGGGAGATGGAGAAAGAATGGCATAGCAAGAGGTGGAGAATCATGTAACTCCAGAGAAAGGTTTGAACATTCAATAAAAAACTCATTCTAGACCCTGAAAAAAATGCATCTTCAGTAGAGTAGTGAAGATAGAAGCTAAACCGCTTCTCTTCCAAACTGCCTTCTTAGACTATTGCTGTTTAAACAGATTCTCAACTTTTTGAGTATTTATGACTTAGAGTCAGTGTTAAGAGAGGTTAATACTCCCTGTTCACCAGTGTTCAGCATATGTTGGTTTTCTTGCCTAAGGTGGAGAGATAGCAACTTGAGTATTTGGACCTTATAAGGATCTCAGACTTCTTTGTTGTACCCATTGTATTCGGACAGAAGTGCTTAGCAAACAATTCTAAGCAGTTTTTGTTTGAGTGTAGTAGATGTGCAGTGAGAGTCTTATAGCCACTGCATCTTGGACCTGCCTCCTTGTGGTGTGATGAGATGGGCAATTATAGTAGCCATTGTAATTATTTATGTAAATATCTATTTCCCAACTAGATTATGAAGTTATTTTTTTGAGCCAGGATCTCACTCTGTTACCCAGGCTGGAGTGCAGTGGCACGATCATAGCTCACTGCAGCCTCAAACCTCTGGACTCCAGCGATCCTCCCACCTCAGCCTCCTGAGTAGCTATAGCTACAGGCACTTGCCATCACGCCTGGCTAATTTTTTTATTTTTTATTTTAGAGATGGGATCTCACTATGTTGCCCAGGCTGGTCTTGAATTCCTGGCCTCAAGCATTCCTCCCTGCTCTGTCTCCTAAAGTACTGGGATTACAGGCATGAGCCACCACACCAGGCCAATTATGGAGTTTTTGAAGACAAGGATAGCAACTTATTCATCTTCAAATACACAGTGCCTCAAATTCTCAGTGTCTGTCATACTCAACTGCATTTGAGTGTTGTCCATCTCATGCTCTCTCTATCTTCCTGAGCCAATGCTCTTTGTCAGGGTTGTGCTTCAGCTGTTGATGGGACAACTGACTTTGGTCTCCTGTTTTCTATCTGGGTTTATTTGTGCACAACATATATTAAGGATTCAGCAGTCCTTATTATAGTAACAAAGAAATAATGATAGGCTGCAAATGTTTTTTCTTCCCTATGGCTATAAATATTAATAAATAGTCACTAAACTGAAAGTGATCCCAAAGAAGGGGGTTATGTTTTTCCTTCCATTGACTATTTAATTTGAAAATTAAGAAATGAATTCTGGGCCAGGCGTGGTGGCTCACGCCTGTAATCCTAGCACTTTGGAAGGCTGAGGCGGGCAGATCAGTGGAGGTCAGGAGTTCGAGACCGGCATGGCCAACATGGTGAAACTCCATCTCTACCAAAAATACAAACATTAGCCAGGTGTGGTGGTGTACACCTGTAGTCCCAGCTACTTGGGAGACTGGGGCGGTAGAATCACTTGAACCCAGGAGGCGGAGTTTGCAGTGAGCTGAGATCATGCCAGTGCACTCTAGCCTGGGTGACAGAGCATGACCCTGTCTCAAAAAAAAAAAAAAAAAAAGAAAGAAATGAATTCTGAAAATTTTTTTCAGTAATACAGAATTTCAAGATGGCAATGTCATAATAGTTGATATAAAGAGCTATAATTGATACTATAGTTTAATCAGAAAGAGGTCTTTTAGGAGTTAAGTATGGTATGCTTTCCTTTAAGGACTCTACTTCATAAAAATTCAAATGATTAAGATTCAAAGATTCAAAACACTTAGATAAGTTACATATCACTCATACTTTGAAATGTTTCCCATTAAGAAAAAAATTGATTTTGTGGGACTTGGCCATCTCTTCCAGGTTGCATTCTGTGTTTTCAGAAGCTGCTAGGACTCCTTTCTATTTTTTTTATGAGTAACTTTGTACTAGCAAACTTAAATATTTATCTACACTTTTTTCAAATGGCTAATATTCACTAAAGTGACACTTTAAAACAAAGAAAAATGGAGAATAATTGCTCCTTAGTTTTTGCTGGTCCTAAATAGCAAAAACTTATTATTAAGTATGAGTGGGTGAAAAGCTTAAACCAAACCAAAACAAAACAAAACAAAAAAAGCCTTGACAAAAGCACAAGAAATAAAGAATGAAGAACTGATACCTTCCTTTAGAAGGAACTGTAGCCCTGTAGCACCCAATGCTCTCTAATGCCATCAGCCAATTAGGAGCTGCCCTGAAGCCAAAGCTTGAGAAAATGCAGTGGAATTGGTTTAGTGGTGTTAATGGCCTGAAGGTAGCAAGAATTGCTGCTTAGTTCAAGAAGGTGGAAATTGACTACTCAATTTGGTGTGGTAATTAGGTCCTTAACTGATTTTTCTAAATTTGTCTATTTTTAACTGGAAGCTTTTTGTGCCAGTCTAAAAAATCAAACAAGGTTTAAACGGAATTCTTAAATATGCAAAAAAAATTGTGTTTTCTTCCTCCCCCATTAAAAAAAAAACCTCTCACTAAAATTAATTTAACTTTATATCTCTGCCTTCTTTGGAAATGCTTTTTCCCCAATGTTTCTGTATTTAATTCTTTCATAGCATGCAGTTTATCATTAACTTTGCTTCTAAAAAGTCACTTATATTTTTCTTAAGATATTGAGACTTACCAGATCATGAAGATTCATAGAAAGCTGTTTGTCAGCTTTTAAGTCCTGGCTTTAGTTTTAGGAACTCTGTGTTTTTTCCATTTCTCATTAACAGATTGATAAGGCAGGTATCCTATGTTAACTATTTTTAAAACTATGTTTAAAAAATTTTAAAAACATTTTTGTAGTTGTTTGAAATTTGCACAGATCATCTTTTAAAAATTTTAACCACCATAGCATCATCTAGTGGACCAATTACATAGCTGTAGGGATCAAACCTATTAGACGCGATAAACAATATAATTCCTTCTGTCATTTTGGTTATGATAAAGACCTTAAGGTGCTTTCAATACTAGGGTAAAATTAATTTTTGTATTCTACTATCCTACTGAAAAAATAATAAATATTCAATAGTTAATTTTAGGAGTCAATCCAAAGGTTAACCCAATAAATCTGAGGTTATTGTAATAAATAATTCAAACCATGACGAGCCAGTAGAAACAGATGGTGCTTCTGGAAGAACTTGAAAATTTTCCACTCTTAAATGAACATAAACCTTCTGCTTGGAGCTGTGCAACTACATGAACTTCTGTGCAGGCCTGTAAATCTATGAGGTTACTTTTTTTGTGGTCTTGAGTCACATTCTTTTAATTTGATGCTTCTCAAGGTATGGAAAGCAAAGGCTAACTCAAAACACAAGAGAACAAGTTCTGGTTATTCTCACTTTGTATTGCTATCTTTCCTCTTCCTGCAATTGCTTCCTGCTCCTCAGTTTTGCATGTAAGAATGTGTATTCCAGTAAGAGGACAAAAGGCATTTTAGCAAGCTTTTATTATACCTAAGCCTGGATTTAACTCCCTCAATAACTGAATAGGCATATAATCCCATGGATTTCTTAAGGTAGTGAGTTGAGTCTAGGTGAATTACAACATTTTTTTTTTCCTGAGCTTTTTCAAATGATTAGCAACACTTCCGCGGACAATTGTGTTTGAAGGGTTACAACTGGCTTTGATGAATAATCTGAAGCAGAGAGCAAGTAAATATGCAAGAAAAGAAAGAAAATGAAAATGAAAGAAGAGAAAAGAAAATAAAGTGAATGCATGTGATAGCACCCTGTTTTTGACCATATATTTATGCTGATAGGTTGATTTCTTTTGACCAAAAAAGATGTTGATAAAGCTGTAAATTTAAGATGTGGTTGAAGATGAGCTTGTCAAGAGTATTTTGTTTTCAATGAGAGATAAGTCATTGACTCATAAAAATTGTATTAGAAGTAAATACAGGATATGTAGTTGTCATCTAATTTATATTGGTTCGATTTTATTTCTTTCAATTTTTATTGTTAATTTTTTGTAACTGTCCATCTTTTACTTATATATAATTGAACATATCACTTCATAAGGAAATGCAATTACTTACACAAATACCTTGTCTGAATATTTCTGCACTAACAAGTTGCTGACACTAAAAAATACAAGGATTCACCAAATGCTGGCCAGAATGTGGAGAAACTGGATCATTTGTACATTACTAGTGGGAACGTAAAATGTACAGCCACTTTGGAAAACAATTTGGCAGTTTCTTAAAAACACTAAACTTGCAACTACTACACGACCCAGCGATTGTGCTCCTGGGCATTTATCCCAGACAAATAAGATCTTATGTTCCCAAAAAATCTTTCCATGACTGTTTATCATAGCTTTATTTGTAATGGCCAAAACTGGAAACAGCCTAGATGTCCTTCAACAGGTGAATGGTTGAACAGACCGTGGTACATCTATACCATGGATTACTTCTCAGCGATGAAAAGGAACAGACTACTGATTATATACACAGCAGCTTGGATGAATCTCCAGAGAATTATGCTGAGTGAAAAAAGCCAATCCTAAAAGGTTGCATACAGTATGACTCCATAAAAAATAACATTCTTGAAATGACAAAATTATAGAAATGAATAATAGATTACTGGTGGATTTAGAATGGGGGAAGAGCAAAGGGAAAGTGGGTGCGGCCATGAAAGGGCAACATGAGGGATCCCTGTGATAGAAATAATCTGTATATTGGTTATATCAGTGTCATGATCTTGGTTGTGATAGTACCATAGTTTTCCAAAATGTTACCATTGGGAGAAAATAGGTAAGCTGTGTATGAGATCTTTGCTTTTCTTTCTAAAAATTTTTATTGAGATGGAGTCTTGTTCTGTTGCCCAGGCTGGAGTGCAGTGGTGTGATCTCAGCTCACTGCAACTTCTGCCACCTGGATTCAAGTGATTCTCATGCCTCAGCCTCCCAGGTAGCTGGGAGTACAGGCATGCACCACCACACTCAGCTAATTTTTTTGTGTTTTTAATAGAGACAGGGTTTCGCCATGTTGGCCAGGCTGGTCTCGAACTCCTGATCTCAGGTGATCTGCCTGCCTCGGCCTCCTGAAGTGCTGGGATTACAGACGTGAGCCACCACGCTCAGCCAAGGTCTCTGTTTTTTTAAACTGCATGTAATCTATAATTATCTCAAAATAAAAGTTTAATTAAAAATATAGAGTAGGGTTTACAAAAGATAGCTCACTGCTGAATTGATGAATCTGAACTCAAAATATATTCTAAACTTTCCTATTTAAATTAAGTCTAATAACTTAAAAGTTTGGATCATACATCATTCTTACTATGAAAGAAATACAATTTTGTTTTATCTTTAGCATTAAAAATGAATTTTATCATACCGCTGCAATATTCCTGTTGTGAAAATGATTGTATTACTATTAGTAAAGGGAAAGAAAAAAAAGAAAATTAATATTCCCTAGTGTAAATAACATAATTCATTAAGAATACAGATGTTGGTAAAGTGACTTTATCTTGTGTTTTCATCACTGCTGTTTAATAATAGAATTTTAAACTATATAAATAATTAAACTATATAAATAATATGGTTTCAATAAATTCTGATGAAACAGAACTGTTCTCTTTTAGTGAAAGTTTGCAGAACAACTTCTTAATATGTTGACTGATTTCTAATCACCTTGCCTTTGTAAGTGGCATTACCATGTAGAAGGTCCATACCTATCTTTTGTGATTAAAGCTATAGGAGGGATGATTTTCTATATCTGTGGATATTTCATATGTTGAAAGAGCTAAGGAGTAAAAATGAACAGTGTGTCTACACCAAATCCAAATAGAGAATTGAAAACTGAAATATTCAGCCAACTCTGAATTAGTTGACCATGCCAATCCATGTATCTATGGAAATTGATTTTATTTTACCAAATAGTAGACTGGATATTTAAGTTGTCATAAATTAAACACAATTCTCAGTGAGTTTTTAATCTCAGAATTAAAAAAGAATCAAAATATCTTACTGGTGACTCAAAGATGCTGTAGTGTCTACATATTTAGTGGTGTCCTAGATGGTTGCACACATCCTTACGACCATAGAGAATTTGATAGTCATATTTTACTACTACTCTACAAGGTCCCCTTAATTTCACATAGTATATTAGCTGATATAAGAAAAATTTATTTTAACAGTACATTTGGATCTTAAAAATTAAAAAAAATATATTCTACTTCCACATGTTAAGGAAAATTCTAGCATGTGAAGAGATATTCAACATTGGGGTGGGTTAATTAGATAATCTGGATTAAAAAAAAAAACTTCTGCTGAATTCACTCATTTATTGACAATGCTTCCTAACTGGCTCCACCCTTAGCTGATGGACAGACACTTGATCTGTCTTAAAATATCTAATCTCTTCTTGATTTACTGGCATAAACTCCTTGACAGGTGTTTTTGTTTGTTTGTTGTGACCCATGACTTCAGGAAAGGTTGCACCCTTGGAGCAGTGGTGACTATTACACTCAGAGCTGTTTTTCTTGTGCTTTGTATTTCATCACAAATAGCACTTCTATGATTCAGATTAGAAGAAGGGATATCTATTAAGATATTTCTGTTCTATATGTTTACAAGACTTATAAGAATAAATGAGTTAATGTATGTAAATGGTTTGGAATAGTGACTGACACATAGTAAGTGCTGTAAGTCTTAGCCATTATTATTATGATATTTGCTATTATTACTATTACTTGCTTGTCTCAATTGTTTGGCAAGTATTCTGCAAAGCTAACCCTGTAATGTCAGTATTTTTTCCTCATTTCAAGCACATCATTGCAATCTCAAATAGCTATACATATGTATTTTGAATTTCAGTTTCAATTCTAATGTAGAAAGTAATTTAAAAATACTTTTAAACTGTAAAATATAACATGCATACAGAATAGTCCACAGAACAAAAATATAGCTTAATGAGGCCGGGCACAGTGGCTCACGCCTGTAATCCCAGCACTTTGGGAGGCCGAGGTGGATGGATCAAGAGGTCAGGAGTTCAAGACCAGCCTGGCCAACATGGTGAAACCCCGTCTCTACTAAAAACACAAAAAAATTAGCCAGCATGGTGGCAGATGCCTGTATTCCCAGCTACTTGGGAGGCTGAGGCAGAGAATTGCTTGAACCCCGGATGCGGAGGTTGCAGTGAGCCGAGATCGTGCCACCGCACTCCAGCCTGGGCGACAGAGTGAGACTCCGTCTCAAAAAGAAGAAAAAAATATAGCTTAATGATTTGTTACAAACTAAACCCATGGAACTCACTCAAGTCAAGATTTAGTATTATCACCCTCTCAGAAGTGTCCTTCCAAACTTCCTCTCAGTCATTGCCCCCTGTATGCCTCCTAAAGTTAACTAATATCCTGACTAATATTGTAGTCATATCTTTGCTTTTTTTTTTTTGTGATGGAGTCTCACTCTGTCACCCAGGCTGGAGTGCAATGTCGAGATCTCAGCTCACTACAACCTCCACCTCCCAGGTTCAAGTGATTCTCCAGCCTTAGCCTCCTGAGTAGCTGGGATTACAGGCATGCACCTCCATGCCTGGCTAATTTTTGTGTTTTTTGTAGAGATGGGGTTTCACCATGGTGGCCAGGCTGGACCTGGCTGGGCGTGGTGGCTCATAGGTGGCCGGGGGTGGTGGCTCACATCTGTAATCTCAGCACTTTGGGAGGCCCAGGTGAGCGGATTCTTTGAGCTCAGGAGTTTGAGACAAGCCTAGGCAACATGGCGAAAACCCGCTCTAAAAAGAAAATAAAAAATTTGAGAATTTCATTGTATGAACATACTGTAATTTATCATTTTCCATTTACTGGTTGACATTTGTGCTGTTTCCAGTTTTTTGATATCATGAATAATGTTGCCATAAACATTCTTGAACATGTTTCTTGAAGCACATGTGCATACATTATTGTTAGTTATATAAGTGGAAATAGTGGGTCAAAAAGCATACATATCTTCCATTTTAAAAGATAGTTATATTGTCTTTCATATTATTTCTACTGACATTACTCCTGTTATTAGTGTTAAGAGTTCCCACTGTTCCACATTCTTTCAAATACTAATAGTATTTGACTTTTTCATTCTGGCCATTCTCATTGGTTACTGTAGTATCTCACAATGGCTTCAATTTCTGTTCCCCTTTTACTAATGACATTGAACACCTTTCATATTTTCCAGTCATTTAGATACCCTCTATTGTGAAGCATTTTTTTTTTTTTGAGGCAGAGTTGCACTCTTGTTGCCCAGGCTGCAGTGCAGTGGCACGATCTCGGCTCACCACAACCTCCGCCTCCTGGGTTCAAGTGATTTTCCTGCCTCAGCCTCCTGAGTAGCTGGGATTACAGGCATGCACCACCAGGCCCAGCTACTTTTGTATTTTTTGTAGAGATGGGGTTTCTCCATGTTGGTCAGGCTGGTCGCGAAGTCCCAACCTCAATTGATCCACCTGCCTCGGCCTCCTAAAATGCTGGGATTACAGGCATGAGGCACCGTGCCCGGCCTGAAGCACTTGTTTTAAGTCTGCTGCCCACATGACTATTGCATTGACTTTGTCTCATTGATCCATTGATTTGTTGTGGACCTGAGACTCTTACGGTGTCTTTTTAAAAAAAGGAAGTTTTGAACTTTAACCAACTCTTTCTTTATACCAACTCTTTCTTTCAATATACCAACTCTTTCTTTCATGATCTTTCATGTAGACTAAGTTTAATGTAGTCTGGTTTATCAACCCTTTCTTTCATGGTTTTTCTGTTTTGTTTAAGAAGTCTTCCCCTCCCGCAAGGTCATAAATATATTTTCTAATATAGTTTTTTAGAAGCTATGTGATTTGCCTTTCATATTTTTGTATATGGTGTGAGGTAAAGGCCAAATTTTATTTTTTCTTCACATGGGCACCCAATTGTCTTGGCACCAGTTGTTGAAATGATCATCCTTTCCATGCTGTTTAGCAGTGCTGTCTTTGTTATAAATCAGCTGTCCATACATGAATGTCTTTTGGATCTCTGTTCTATTCCAAAGATATATTTGTCATTCTTGTGTCAATACCATATTGTTTTAATAAGTGTAGTTTTATATAAATCTTGATATCAGGATAATTTTGGCCTTCATTATTTCCATATAAATTTAGCATCAGCTTGTTGAATTCTGCAAAACAAAACAAAATAGAGCCAAAGGCTGCTGGAATTTTTATTGGGATTTCATTGAATCTGTAAACAGTTTGGGGTACACTGATTAATTTCCAATGTAAAAATTCTTCTACAATTTTTGAAATCCACTTTACCTTATTAGCCAGAGAAGATACTGTAGATGTCAGTCTTTCAAAATTTATTAAAACTTGCTTTATGGTTCTGAAGAAACAAGAAGAAAAATCTAATACTATTAGTATTTGAAAGAATGTGGAACAGTGGGAACTCTAATTTTTATGAGGGAATTATATGTGCTCAGAAAGGATGTGAATGATATGTGGTTTAAAATGAATTATATGACTTGAAAAGAAAGTGTTCTGTGTCTGTGAGTTAGGTCAAATTTTATTAATCATATGTTAAAATTATCTAAGTTCTTACTGATATTTTGTCATTTGTATTAACATTTACTGAAAGGTCTGTTAGAATTTTCCACTATGGTTGTAGACTTGTCTATTTTTTCTTTGGAATACTATAAATTTTTAATGTAATATTAAGAGGCTATGTGATAATGTGTTTATACATTTAGAAGTAAATTTTCCTGGTAAATTGAACTTTTGTCATTAAGAAATGGACGATTTTATCTCTAGCAATGCTTTTTTCTTTCACATCTACTGTATTTTAGATTGATATAATTACACTATGTTTTTGGTTAGAGTTTCACGGCATAATATTTATCATTCTTTTACTTTCAACTTTCTGTATGTATTTGCTTTAGGTATGTCTATTATAGCATAGAATTTAAAAATTCTGTTATAATATTTTAATCTAAATTGAAACATTTAGTCTACTTTTAAATTTAATGTAAATACTAATTTATTTAAATTTAAATACAGTTATGCCATGCAAGCACTAACCAAAAGAATGCTAGCGCTCCTGGTGGCTAACCCTTCTCCTTCTAGCTTTATAATACTAGCAAAATCACTGTTCAGCTTCTTAGCCTTTCTGCTACCTCTCCGGGATTTTTCAGATCTCCCAGGGAATGAGTAGCTTCAAATGCAACGCTCATCTCCTTGGTCCCCAGTCCTCCTCAGATCTTGGTCTCGTAATTCTTCACTATTTTTTTTTTAACCTTTCAATGCTATGGAGAATATGTTTTTAAAAATATTTTGTTCAGCCTTTCTAGCTGAGCATTTGTCCAAATTAATTAGTTTGCCGTTACTAGATTCCTGCAATCATGCTTTTTTTAAAGTCTTATGTAGAATGTGCTTAATTTAGTCATTAGAAACTATCTGTATATCAAAAGAGAAATGATGCAACATTGAAATTGGTTTTCAGAATGTAGGTAATCCCGAATAATATACTGCAATTCTTTTATGATGATCCTATTGTAATCTTAGTGCTATAGTAGCCCTACTCAGAGATCCAAGATAGTGTATACTAGTTCAGCAATACATTTCCAGGTTAAAATATCATGACAGATATAGAAATCAATGTCATAATATAATCTCAGAAGCCTAAGGAAAATCCAAAGTGCATTGTACTTATTCTTAGGATAGAAGCAACTATAATCCCTTATAAATAAAATGTATACTGTAATGTCATGTGTTTCTTTGTGTGAATTATCACAGGTGGTTCTTTTGTGAGGAAGCAGTGGTTTAATTCAAAACTCCATTTGCCTTACCTGATTATTCTTTTAAAATTGTCGGTACACCAAACCTCTGTGACATGCAGTTTACCTATATAACAAACCTGCACATGTACCCTGGACCTAACAAAAGTTAAACATAAAAAAATAAAATTTACATGATGAATTTCCCCAGAAGTTTAGTTTGTATAGATGTTTCACATAATTTAAGTAAGAGTCCAATAAATGTTTTGAATTGGATTTATCTATTGTACTTTCCTTTGATATTTAGCAAAATTTACATAGTTTTTGTTCCTTTCCTCTCTAGGATATATTTTTGTAAATATATAGCTTTAAGTTAAATATTAACAATCTTACTCTAAAAAGCAATATTCAACTTATGCTTGGATATTTCCAAAATAAAATAATTGTTTAAAATATTTAGAGTAACAAAAATATAGGCTGAATGTATATATAGTTTACATTTTCTTAAAATACCCAACAGTAACTATTATGATTAGATACCTGATACTATTCTAGACAGGTTTATCAAGAACCTCCACAGTGAAAACCTGCCATAGTCATCTGCTTTACCTGTGATATGTGCTTATACTATCAATATTAATTTAAGGGTTCTAGTGAAGGCTGCCTTTTCCATTGATGAGAACAATTCAAAGTTTCTTTTCAGCATGGGCTTTGGAGTCAGGTCAATCTGGGTTTCAATTTGGTTCTGTCACATGCCAGCTTGACTTTAGGTTCCCTAATATTTTTAAAGTTTGTTTCCTTATTTGTTAAAATGGAGAAATCTCTGTGTTGGGGGGTCTAGAAAAAGAAAACACTGAGAGAGGATAACCTTCACAAATTTCAGAACATCGGTGTGAGACCACCTGGGGCCTACGTTCCCACTGTTATAAGGTTTATATGTAGATATGTATAACTGAGTTTTGGGTTTACCTTCCATTTTACTTGGATTAAAGATTCGAACACCTTAATGCATGCTCTTTTTGCCCTCTTTACAGAACACTTTTATATCATTTTATTACTAATTAAATTTTATATGGAATAATATGGTTACAGGGGGTTTATAAAAAAAAATCTGAGGTGGCTACTGGCCTAGACCAGGTTGTCTGCAGACTACATCTTGTGGGCCAAATCTTCCTGCAAGCTGTATTTATAAAGTTTTATTGGAACACAACAGCTCCCATGCATTAAATATTATCTCAGGCTGTTTCTGGGCTTTTGTGACAGAGTCGAGTAGTTGTGATAGAGACCATATGCCCTGCAAAGCTTAAAATATTTACTATCTGGTCCTTTGGAGAAAAGGTTTGCCATGCCTGGTCTAGAGGATAAAAATGGAGGAAAATCAAGCGAGGCCTGGTTGTGGGCTCTTTCAGCAGCCCCCTACTAGTTTATTCCTTCTAGTGTTTTTCCTTTCTTCTTCCTTTCTTGCTCAAAAAGGAAGTGCTAAACAAGATTGAACTCTTCTGTCCCATGAGTCTCCATTTTCTTAGAAAGGAGAATCTGACCAGTCATTAATAATACCTTACAATGAATTAATTTGTGTGTGCCGAACCTTTCTTAGGAACAATTTTGTTTTAAAAAAGGAATTGATACAATGCTAATTTGTCAATTTGTAATACAAATAAAAAATAAAAATAAACCCAGGAATGAAATGTATCGAGGGAAGTTTATTCAATAGGATAAGTCTTTTAATATTAGAACTTCAGACTTTTTGGAATCTGGGTAGGAACAATGTTTAAGATGTCAACAAGACTTTCTTGGTGTGCTCAGGTTAGGCAGACTGTCACTTCACTTTAGTAGTCAGGTTTGTTTCCAGATCATTGCCATTTTTTTGATGTGTATATCTGTTGTATATATCTATGTCTTCAATATATAATATCTGTTTTTCTTTCTATTCTTTATTTATTTCAGCTCATACCCCTAGTTATGCATTCCTCAATACTTTATTTCCATGTGTCTGAAAAACTGGCTTAATGGTGTCTTTAATTATAGATATTTGTCTTATAACCAAAGAACTATACACTATAGTGGCCAATAGTATATTTAATGTGGTTATGATAATTTTACATTACCATGATTATCTTATCAGTATTTATTCAGATCTCAAATGGGCATTAATTTGAAACATAGAGGTACATTATTAAGCAATGTGATAATATGTTCAGTTAACATGTTTAGTACTTAACTATGTACCAGTACTTACTGTTGCAAAAACTCTCTCTGTCTCTCTCTCTCTCTATATATATATGTATAAAGTGTTCATTTTAACTCACACAGTAGCATTGAGGTAGGTACTATTTTTATCAGTCTCTTATTTTATACATGAGAAAATTGAGATACAGAGAGGTTAAGTAACTTGCTGAATACTACACAGCTGGTAAGCAGAGGAGTCAGTATTAAATCGTAGGCAGTGTGGCGCGCTAAAGTTCCTGTTGTTAGCCATTGTGCTGTATTGCCACAGACACATATGCCAAACATTAATATTTGCTTATAAAAGATACTTAAAAGTAATAAAATATTCCTTTGAATAATTAGTTCTGCAAATGAATCCAAAATAAAATTTAATTGACATATGACATAAAATTGGTAGAAATAATTTGTTTCATAAAGAGTATTGCATTTATGAAATAAATGCTCGTCTCCTTTCCCCACCTAGTTTTCTGTTTGTTTATTTTTGCCAATTTGTATTCTTCTTGTATTTTTTGATTTATGCATGCACCATCTTTTAGTAAAATCCAGCAAAGGGAAACTAACAAAAGTCAATATACCTTTGCCAAGGCTAAAATTAATTTCTCTGGGGTGTTTTCTTTTGAATGACATTTAGGGATTTACTGCTGCCCTCCTGGCTGCTTCCTTATCTCTCAGTGAGCCCCATAAGTTGGAAATCTGCATGGGTACCCCAAAGTCATACACTGAATCATATAATGAGCTTTTCTCAGTATTACCTTTCAGACAAATGATTATCGAGTGTTTTGTAGGACACAACATGGTGCAGTGGAAAGAACATTGGATTGGGCATCCCAAGTCCTGGGTTCAGAATCTGATTCCACTGATGACTAGCTGTATAATTGGGCAAATCACTCAACATCTAAGTTTCAGTCAACTTATTGGAACATGGGGGTGATAATATCTATATCATATGATTGTTTCTGAGGTAGCAAGTGAACATTTGTTCTTAGATGTTAATTAATCTTTAAATTGCACTTTATTTTCCTTTTGAGATCTTGATGAGGCTAGCACATACATATCAAATGGATTTGTGTTTGCAAAGTACAACCTATATAACTCGTCATTTTTCTTGCATTACTTCACTTAAATACGTAAGTCTTACTTGGCAGTATCATGCTATACCTGTCAAAAGTGATAGTAATGAGAAAAACATAACCACGTTTAAGAGCAGTTTTGTTCAGGGTAACACTTAGACTTCAGGTTCTGTAACAGCTAGATGGGAACCTGTTACAAATATTTTTCCTTTGTTCCTCATCAAAAATGAAGAAACCAGTCACTGCATCAAGATAAACATGTGTAATGTCGTCTTTATTTCCTTTGGAATTTGTATGACACAAATGGGAGATATTCTTGATAAATCACATGTTGGGTAGTTTTTGTAACCAAAGAGATAAGGCTTTTTAAAAGACTTCTAAGTTCTTAATTTTCATCACAATGTCATGAGGTAGTCAGAAAAACACAATGTTCCTTTGTGTAATTAAATTAATAAAGCAGAAAATCTGTTTTCAGATCAAATTCTAAATGACTGTACGGCTTGCTCTCTGTGTTGTTTATGTTCATGGTTATTTGGCTTGGTGAATAGCAGGAGGTTAGGAATGATTTCACTTTCAGCTATAATTATGAAGATGTGGAAACAAAATCAGTGCCTAATCACTGCATGTTCATTCCTAATCAGGAAGGTGGCAAAAAAAAGGAAAAAAAAAATCACTGCATATTCACAGGCTAAAGATGTCATAAAATATTCTGAAGTGATATTTTCTCTGAAACTGTCAACCCTCTGACATGCTCCAGTGAACTCTTGGAGGAATAGATACAAATATACTGTGTGTGTGTGTGTGTGTGTGTGTGTGTGTATATATATATATATATATATATATATATATATATATATGTAAAGTATCCAAAGACTTAAGAAAGAAGTTTTTCTAGTCTGTCAGATAACCCCCTTGGAGCTTAGATGCTTCATGGAGCTCTCTTCTTAATTATTACTGAAGTGCCATAGGAAAAATAATAATGTCTGGTTGTTGATGTAGCAGTGCAACTTCACTTCAGGAAATCTTTGTTATTTGATAGAAAGAGATATTTATCACTAATAATTTTTCTAATGGCTTAATGTACCAGTTGCAAAGTGTTGCAAAGCTAAACTGGCCATATATAGTGTTCGCTATATATGTGTTCGCAGCGAAAATCTCTACAATTAGCAGGTATATCCCAGAAATGTTAAAACATTAACCTTATGATCTTTTGCTGGGAGCAATAGTAATTTGTAACCATATCTTTTTCAGGAATTTGTTTGCATCCAAAAATGGGGAAAAGGGCTATGGGGTGTTGAACCCCAATTAGTCATTACATTCCTTTAATCAGGAGATGAAGAAGTCTGAAATGCCTCCTCTTAGAATTAGCCAAAATAATGAAAGTCTAAAAGATAAAGTTTAGAGCTGTAATCTTTGCCTTAAGGATGGCTCCACATAAAATGAGATCATCTTGGCTCATGCTGGACTTTGTAATTCAATTTCCAGCCTTGGATATTTCAGATATTCTTTGTCTACTCTCTATTCCTATAGTATGATTTTTTCCCTAGTGTATATTGCTTTTGCAGGTATTGCTGCCAGGCAGTTTTTTTGCCTTTCCATAAATTTAAAGGGCCCATATAACAGTTTAACACATTTAATAAACAGACTTTATATGGAAATAATTTTATGACTTGTAGCAAGTTAAAGTTTATCTTAAAAAGTTCTGTTTTAGGTTTGCAAGGCAAACGAATCATTAGGTGATTTAAGAGCCTATGGTAATGATAATTTAAATAAAAACTCTAATGTAAACCTTCTGCTCCAATATTCATTCACGTTTCCTTCAAGGTAAGAGGGAAATTTGGACGATGTACTGGGGCAGTGTTTAATAAGACAAAATATCTCTTTATAAAATTATTTTGCTTACATTTGTAAAAGTGACAGCTTAAGAGGATACTCCTATAACTTTGACAAAAGAATAGAGGTGCAGTAGGTCAAACAGCTTTTAATGGGCCATGCCATCCTCTGAGCTTGCTTTCCTAACTTACAGGTTCACATTTGTTTGGGTCCACCTTTTTTGTATAACTTCTTCTTAAGTTTATTTATATAATTTGTTCCTACCAGTGCCCTGGGTCATTTATTACACCTATTAACTTCTCTCTCTGAAGAGATTCTGCCAGAATTCCTTAACAACCATCTTTGAGTCTGTTTCTTCTCTCTTTAAATTTGAGATCAAGGATTTTGCTGGAACAGTGCGTGTTGAGCGTGCTTTGCTGCTGTCCTGATTATCTTTTCTGTGGATAGAGGTACATGTAATTCACCATACGGATACAGTTTCTGTGTGGAAAATACTTTAGAAATGTAAAACTCACACAATTGTTTTTTGATCTCACATTCAACGCTAGCTGGAGCAGTCTCTTAGTATTACATTAAGATATTTCAATGACTTCTCTTCTAAGGATAGTTTTCCATTTTTTATACTTTACATTTTGCCCATGGATCGAGATGAACATTCTTTTCCTATCACACTTTTGTTTTTCTCTGGAAAACATAGTCTGGGAAACCTTCACTCTAACCAATCTTTGGCCAGGTGCACCAGAAGCTTAATTATTAGAATCTCTGTTTTTTCAAGTCCCCCTCTTTTCTAAAATAATCTCAAAATTATTTAATCATGTTAATTAGAATGATATTGTTAAAAAGTAATTTATAGTGGAACATAACTATGCAATAGACTCTGTTAAATGTTGGAGGCAATTTTGAAATTACATCTACTTGACACCAAATTAATTGGTTTAAAAGGCAACATTCTTTAATATTAAGCAACAATTTAAAATTATTTTACTAACTGTAATAAATGCCATTTTAAGAAAATTATGTCAAGGCATTTAAAATAGTCAAGACAATAAGTGTTTTTATAGATTCAGCCACATGAAACTTTGAAGATTAATTCTAATTTGTTGGCCTTTAACACAACGCCATGAAAAGATTCTGCTTTAAAAGGTCTGTACAGACTTTATTTTAGTCTCTAGGACAGACTGTGAAGGTAATTTATTTGAGTGAACTTAATAAAAAACAACACTCTAATGGTCGAACTTAGTAAAGCAGTTATATGCCAGATATAGCTGGAACTTTTACACAGAACGAGTATTCTGTGTAATTTGGGGCTATTTGAATTGGATCTTTCATTATAGAATGAACAACTAGTTATCAAGATAATCTGTGCTTTTAATTAGTGTTTCTTGATTTTCACATATGTGTAAAAGGTACTAAAGAGATTTATAATATAACATGCAGCAATTTATTTGATGTCCAAGTTTAGGTTCTGTTATGTGAGGGTGCTTCTTACTGTTCCAGGCATTGATTCAGACTTATCACTCCAGTGTCTTACTATCATTCTTCTGACTTGGAAGACAACAAAGCAATTTACTGAGAAAAAACTGCACTTCCATTTTGTATTGGATACTACATACTAACTAAAATTACACAAAGGCTGTGGGAATCTTAAACATACCCATGGTGAAATATATTCCTTTCCAAATTTCTAGCTTTTTAGGGTTGGGGATGGGGCACAATCATGGACATATGAATAAAAATGAAGATAGCAAACTGCTAGTTGATAGAGATTATTGGTTGCCTACCAAAATTTGTTCCCTCCTTCCTTAATAATAGAATTGTAGCTAAGGTAAACTAAAGACTACATATTCCAATCTTCCTCAGAGTTAGGAGTGTCCATGTCTAAAATCTTACCAAAAGTATGTGAGAAGTTAGCTGTGGCACTTCTGGGCCTGGATCTTAGGACTTTTTTTTTGAGACCAAGACTCACTCTGTCACCCAGGCCGGAGTGCAATGGTGCGATCTCGGTTCACTGCGACCTCCGCCTCCCGAGTTCAAGCGATTCTCCTGCCTCAGCCCCCCGAATAGCTGGGACTACAGGCGCCCACCACCATGCCCGACTAATTTTTTTGTATTTTAGTAGAGACGGGGTTTCACCATGTTGCTCAGGCTGGTCTTGAACTCCTTAGCTCAGGCAATCTGCCTGCCTTGGCCTCCCAAAGTGCTAGGATTATGGGCGTGAGCCACCACGTCCATCTGGGACATTTTTAATGAGCTGAAAATGATGTGTCTGCATCCAGCTTGCAAATGCAAAAGAGGAAAATGCCGTACAGGATAGCAGAGTAACAAGGTGGGAGAAACACGGTTCACGAATCATGGGAACTAAAGATCTGTGTCAACCTAGAATACTGTAATTTAGAACTGGTTGTCACATCAGCATAACCTTCATTCTAACTAATCTTTGCCTATCAGTACCAACAGCTTATTGACTAGAATTCCTGTTTGTTGAAACCTCTCTCTTTCTTAAGCCAATCTTGGGATGACTCACAAACTCTTCTCAGTAGCCATTGAATTGCTCCTCTGCAGCTGCCTGAACCAATCTTTTTCCTGTGGTTTTAGTTCGGATGTCCTGTCATATCTTCCATTTACATGACCTCAGCATACCTTAAAGCCTGTGGATATTGGCAGTGATGCCTGTCCTATTAGCCCGAGGGATCCTCCTTTCTTCTCTAAGCATGGTTCCTTTAATGTTTGCTGAGTGGTTTCCTTTCCTTCCATAGTTCCAACAATTTTAACAGCTCCCCAACCCTCTTGCCCTCAAAGGGTAGATTTGTTAGAAAACTTATATTTGACTCTCACAATCTTTTTTTAGTTAACATTCTAGAGGAACTCAGGACCAAGTCCCTGGGACAAAACTGGTAGATCAGTGTCACTCCTCACCATCAAATAATATACTGCACCTTGGAGCCTGAGAAGGATAGTTGCAGTGCTACCCTCAGGATTTATGTTATCCTAAGGATTAAATGCACCAAATCATAATGCTGTCTTTTTACTACTTTAATAATAATAATAATTATTGTTATTGTTTTTTGAGACGGAGTATCATTCTTGTTGCCCAGGTGGGAGTGCAATGGCGTGATCTTGGCTCAGTGCAACCTTGGCCTCTTGGGTTCAAGCGATTCTCCTGCCTCAGCCTCCCAAGTAGCTGTGATTACAGGTGTGTGCCACCACAACCAGCTATTTTTTTTGAATTTTTAGTAGAGACGGGGTTTCACCACATTGGTCAGGCTGGCCTTGAACTCCTGACCTCAGGTGATCCACCCACCTAGGCCTCCCAAAGTGCTGGGATTACAGGCGTGAGCCACCGTGCCCAGCCTAACTTTCATAATTAGACTCCCCTCAAAGGCATCAACAACTTCTTATCTAATTAGTAATATTCCAGCCTAGTAATATTATTTCTCTCTTGAAGAAATTGTAAGTTGTGTTCTTAAATATTTTAAAATTAAACAAGTAACTCAATCATTCTCACCCACCCAGAGGAATAAGTTTTTCTTTGTAATATCTAGGAGGAAACATGATGCAGTGAAAAGAAAATTAGACTTAAAAGTCAAGATCTGGGTACTAATTCCAGTCCTTCCATTTACCTACTGTTTGATTTTGAGCAACTCAATTCATATTTGTTGATCTCAGTTTGATTATCTATAAAATTGCTGCTAATAATACCTACTACCCAGAATAGTTGTACATCATGAAATTGTAGCCTAAATTCTGACCTGGATTTAGAGTTAGACCTGTTCAGTCATATATATTTCTAGATCATTTGTTTTAAAGATGAAATGATTTTTTATGTGTAGAATAAAAGAATGTTTAACAAATATTTTATTGCAACAACTTTTGTGTAAATGAGGACAACTTTTGTGTATATTTCCTAATGTAATTAACATTTGTGTTCTTATTGAACCCTATTGAATTATGCATCACTTCCTATAAAGGAGAGCTGTCCTTAATTTTAGGAATATTTCACTTCAAAATGTACTTACCATTTTTATTTTGTGTGTGGGTGTGTGTGTGTGTGTGTGATATACATATTTCCACAGAATAAATAAATTTTGACCTTTAAGAAGAATCTGCTCTTCTGTTCTGGGTTTTCTTTGAGTTTACTGTAGTATGGTATATTTTTATATGGTACACGATTCCTGATTCCTAGTTCCACATCGGGAACTTAGTAGCATCTATTAGGTCCAGTAGAAGTGGGTGGGTGGCTCAGGCTACAGGATTTCCCGTTTTGCAACATAGACTTTTTCTCAGTAGCCACTTTGCTGAGCTACTAACCAGAAAGAGTTGATTTAGCTTTTTAAACTTGAATCTCTCCTGTTGCTCTCTTGGGAGGATATGTCCTAAGAATGTACTGTACTAAGAGGTTTAACAGGGAGAGAGCTGCCATTAAACACTCTTCTTAAGATCATGTTGGAATCAATGATCTAATCCCACTAGAAGTGAGTTATTGACTTCTTAATGTATAAGGGAGGCATTGGCTCCTGACGTTTGGTGTGCTCTGCTTCTCCTCCAGGGAACAGGGATCTGCTAAAGCCTTAAGGAATGTGAGGAGTGTCCTCTTATGGGAGGAGGAAGTTGGCTGTTAGAAAGTCACGAAGGAGGCCAGCATTTCTTCCTTCTGTATTTTCACTATTTAGGCTTAATATTTAAGGGTGTGATTTATAAAGGAAGCATTCATTTTATATATATTGTTCCCTGTTTGAAAGCCTACACGTGTGGCAGTGAGCTAGCAGACAAAATAAGAGAAATCTGGTTATAAGGTGTTTACAAACTTAGACAATCCGTGGGGAACAGAAAGAATTGTCTTGCTCAACTTAAGAATAGCATATCAAAAGCATTAATTTTTTCAGATGAAAAATAGTTATAATTTGTTTTCAGATTCGATAGGTAATATACAGTTGTATTGAAAATGGAAGGAAGATAGAAAATATGAAAAGGAAAATATCAATAGCTCTCAATACTATTATTCAGGCAAATATTCATTGTAAAAGTTTTTGTGAAGATCCATTTAGATATATATTTTTTGCACACTTAAACTTACAGAGTTATGTATATATGTAAATGCATGTAATATATATAATATCTTTATGTGTGTTTATCCTCATACTATATGAAAATTATTTTCAATTGGGACTATGCTGCCCATCCACCCACTCAAAAATCAGTGACTCAGTGATCCACTTTCAATTGTGGACTCTGTAAAATTTCTTATGATTTATGGCAGCAAACAGTTGAAAATCATTGTATATATTCTGCTTTATAATTATAATTTATTCTCAGTGATCTTCAGACCTCTCTATGTCAATGAACACCTAAGAACATTTAACATGAGATCTACTCTTGGACAATTTTTTTTTTTTTTGAGACAAAGTCATGCTCTGTTGTCCAGGCTGGAGTGTAGTGGTGTGATCTGGGCTCACTGCAACCTCCGCCTCCTGGGTTCAAACGATTCTTCTGTCTCTGTCTCCTGAGTAGCTGGGACTACAGGCGTGCACCACCACACCTGGCTAATTTTTGTATTATTCGTAAAGATGGGGTTTCACCATATTGGCCAGGCTGGTCTCAAACTCCTGACCTTGTAATTTGCCTGCCTCGGCCTCACAAAGTGCTGTGATTACAGGCGTGAGCCACTGTGCCCGGCCTGGACAAATTTTTAAGTGTAATATGTAATTATTGATTATGGGTATAATGTTGTACAGCATTTCTCTAGTGCTTATTCATTGTGCTTGACTGAAACTATATGTCCCTTGATTAGTAACTCAAATTTCCCCCTTCTTCAGTCCCTGGCAAACGCCATTCCACTCTTTGATTCTCTGAATTAACTATTTCAGATACTTCACATAGGTGGAATCATGCAGTAGTTATCTTTCTATGTCTGGCTTATATCATTTAGCATAATGTCTTCAAGGTTCATCCATGGTGTCACATATTGCAGAATTTGCTTCTTTTTAATGGGCTGAATAGTATTGCACTATATGTACCTTACACATTTTCTTTATACATTCACCTGTCAATGGACGTTTAGGTTGTTTCTACATCTCATCTATTGTGAATGGTGCTGCAGTGAACATAGAAGTGCCAACATCTCATCAAAATCCTGATTTCAATTTTTTTATGAATACTTAGAAATTTTATTGCTGGATCATATGGTAGTTCTATTTTTATTTTTTTTGAGGATCCTCTGTGTTATTTTCTATAGCGGTTGCACCATTTGCATTCCCACCAATAGTGTGTTAGGGTTGCTGTTTGCCCATATCTTTGCCAACACTTTCTTTAAAAAGAATAATAGCCACCCTGACAGGTATGAGGTGATGTTTCATTGTGATTTGGATTTGCATTTCCCTGATGACTAGTGATGTTGAGGATTTTTTCATATGCCTGTTGGCCATCTGTATGACTTCTTTGGAGAAGTCCTTAGACCATTTTTAAGTTGAGTTTTGAGTTTTTACTATTGAGTTGTAGGAGTTCCTTGTATATTTTGCAGATTAACCCCTTATGAGATATATGGTTTGTCAATATATCACTCATTTTTAAGTCTATATATTTGTTCATGGTATAGATATACTTTAATTTGTTTAACAACTATTTCACTGATGACATTGTGCTTATTTCCATTTCTTTCCTGCTCCTATTATTAATCATGCTTTGAAGGACGTTTTTGTTCCTACATTTTTGTATGTTTGATTCTTTATCTCCTTAGGATCTATTTGGAATCTGTTGGAGGAAGGATGTCTGAGTTAAAAAGAAGGCATTTAATATTGATGCATATCATTACACTGACCTCCAAAAAGATTGTATCAATTGACACTCCTATTAACAATTTATGAGTTTCCACATAGCACTGATCTTTAAGATCTTTATCATTTGGCTAGGTGGAAAGCAGTAAATCATTGTTTGTATTTGAGTTTTGGATTAATAATGAATGTATGCATTTGATTAGGAGCCAAAGCTGTGGAGTGTGACCATGTGAGTTTATATTCTGGCTTTATCACTTACCAGCTTTTTGACTTTGTGCTAATTATTTAACCTCTCTATGTCACAGATTAGTCATCTGGGAAATGGTAATAATAATAATACTGACCTCATAGAATTGTGAAAATTAAATTAATTAATACACATAAAGCTCTTACAACATTTCCTGGTAAACTCATTCTCAGTAAATGTTAGCTATTGATATATTTTAATGTTATCTAATATTTTACTTTTTCTCTCTTCAATTGTATATTCAAGTTCTTTGATCTACTTCGTTATGATGTTCCATCATTTATTTAGTGATTTGATAGGGAACTTTTAAAATATGACAGATATTAACTACTTATCTGTCCTGCATGCTACAAGTATTTTGGCTTTTTTGTCTGGCATTTCTTTGTACCATGTAAGGTTTTACCACTTAAGTAAAAATATACTCATCTTTTAATATTTCTGGCTGTAAAAAAGCGTTTATCATCCTAAAGATTATTTAAAAATTCACCTATGTTGTCTTCAAGGGAGGTAATGATTTTATTTCTCACATTTGAGTCTTTGATCCATCTTGAATTAGATTTGATAGCAGTCATGAAGGATCCACAAAAGCTTTACTTTTTTGACGATGACAATGCTCAGTTTGAGTACTACAAGGACATACAAAATTAAAAGTAGAACTTCCAATTTCCCTTTGATGGACAAAATCTAAATTTATCTTTTGGGAAATTTTTTCATGATATGAGGTAGGATTTTAGTTTTCTTCTATTTCCCACTCTCATTTTCTTTTATGTTTCTCTTCTTTCTGTAAAACATCTGCTCTTGGGGCTTCTATGAAAGCTTAACAGATTTTCTTCCCAGGAGCCAAGTTATTCCCATCGTATCAGGATTTCACATCGAGATAATTGATTTTAAATGTTGCTTTTTTCACAAGATTAAAATATTTCAACCTAACAATTCATACTGTGAACACTGTTTAGACTAACATCACTAAAATAATTGCCAATCAAGATGAATAGATTTTACTGCTGCTTCAAGATCCCTTTGGAATTTTGACTTCTGCTGTGCATTGGCCAGGGTGATAATTATATCATTTAATCAACATACTTAGTAATGTTTATTAAATATAAAAATATCCATATCAATGAACTTGATATGACCTATTTTGTTATTAATGTAACACAGATAGTATAATTGCATGCACATTTATTGAATGTTTCTTGTGTAGCACTGCAGATCCGCTTGGCCACATCTTTCATTTCAGCCATTGCTGCAGACAACAGTTATGAACAGATTTTTGTTTTTTTTTTTTTGAGACAGCATCTCCCTTTGTTGCCCAGGCTGGAGTGCAGCAGTGTGATCTTGGCTGGCTGCAACCTCTGCCTCCCAGGTTCAAGCAATTCTCCTGCCTCAGCCTCCCGAGAAGCTGGGATTACAGGCATGCACTACCATGCCCAGCTAATGTTTATATTTTTAGTAGTGACCGGGTTTCACCATGTTGGCCAGGCTGGTCTCGAACTCTGGACCTCAGGTCATCTGCCCGCCTTGGCCTCCCAAAGCGCTGGGTTTACAGGCATGAGCCACTGTGCCCGGCCTGTGCACAGATTTTGACCTGTTTTATGTAGGTACAACTGGAAGTGCCTTGCCTCAGTCCATATAAAGCTTCTCTGACACCAGAAGCCTTGGATTCTTGAACACATATGAACAGCCTCCCTGTGTGGGTGAGTTTATGACCCATGGGACAGACCTTGACCAATATGGCATAAAAATGGACAGGAAATGCTCCACCCTTGCATCCTTCCAGAGAGTGATTTGGAGATACGGTACAGTCCATAAGTTTTCTCAGAAGGTCCTGTAGATCCAGGAATCAGTTGCATCCAGGAGTGGCCAATTCTATATTGCATCGTTGTATTGGCTGCCCCTCCTTCTGTATCCATTCTTGTCTCTCCTGCCCCTTCCTGTCCCCCACTCCTGTGATTATAGCTTTCATAAACCATGGATGCATCAGTCTCTGTCTCGGGCTGTTATTTTGGTGTTTCTTAGACTAAAAAACTCATTAGAAAAAGAGTTTAAAAATTATTTCTGATCATTTGTATATTGTGGTTTCCACGAACTATTTATTTTAGCTTAAACCACAGAAAATCTACTAGAAACAGACCTTTGGAATTTTAAAAAAAATCTGCTGAAGACAACTATACTCTGTTCATTTTTAGTTATTTTGCTTTAAAAATTGACTTCCAATCTTCTATTTCTTCCTTTAATAACATTAAATATTTCTTCTTTAGAAAAGAAATCCCATTAACTCAGCAAAAAGGTGCAGGGAATTGACTTGTATGTCAGTTGTTTCACTTTAATTTGAGATAATATAAAGTTATTACTCATTTACTTAGACTGTCATTTAAAATGTAAAGTTGATTTAATCATTGATATCGAATTGTTGTTACTCTTACAGAAGTAAAACACAAAGAATCAAATCCTATGATGCATTCACATACTCACCTCAGAATAAACCAAGGCTTTGGTGTAAATTCATTATGATAAATATTTTAAAATATCTAAGTAATGTAGGAAGGATAAACCAACAATTCACGTAATAGTCGTAAACTTTGAAGCACTGTATTTACCGACAATTTCATTTTCTATGTGAGATTTTCAATATGCTTCTAAATTAGAAATCCTGTGTGCTTTATGGATAAAGAATAGCTTCCCTAAATTTTGGCCACTAGATGTCATGGCAGCTCCATATAAGAAGCCTAGAATGGGGGAGGGTTTGACTACCAAATAGTTTGTTTTCAGACTTCGGCTGCTCTGTTGCACAGAAGTGTATCATTCTGCAGTTTATAAAACCAGCCATTTTACAAAATTAAGGACTACCTCCAGCCAGTGTAAAAATCCAACTAATTTTGGATTTTTTATGTGGCGATGTATATGTTGATAAAGAAAATGGTTGAGAACAATTTAAAACAAATTCTGCTTTTTGACAATGTTGTCATTGCTTTGTACTTACTCTTAACTCCTTTATAACAAATACAACCAACCAACCAAACAACTCAGGGAGCATTGAGAATGAAAGCAAAAGAAAGGTTCTAAAAACCAGCTGGTTTTACATTTTGCCATTAGCTGATAAGATATACCAGCTAATGAGCAAATAAAGAGAATTTATAGCACTTAAATAGCTGAAAAGAAATCATGATCTTCTTATTAGATGATGAACTTATTTTATATTGAAAAAATGTGGTGAATAACTGGGCATAGCTCTTTGGCAATCCATACATGATTGCAAAGGCAAGATGGGGTAAGGTGGTGGTTAAGAACATAGGCTTTGGAGTCCCAAAGCCTAAGGTTTGAGATGTGGATTTTCCCCTACTTGTTATATGATGTTTTATTGCTTCATCTATAAAGAAGAATAGTTGATAATACTTATCCTGAAGGGTTGTTTTAAGGCTCAAATAGGTTTGTGAATATAAAGTTCTTAGCACAGTGTCCTCAGCATTGTAAGCAATCAATAAATAGCTACTCTCATTATAAAGATGAAATTTCATATCAAACACTTTAAAATGAAAAGCCCAATACTTCAAAATGCAAAAAGAGAATAAGCTTTAATCATTTTTCTAGCAAAATATAGTTCTGAAATAGAGGATAGCATAAATAGCCCTCCTAAAGTAAAGCCATCATGGACTTGAGACTGCGTCCATGGAAAGGAGTTGCTTATTGCAGTGATCATTACTAATATCTACAATGTTAAGTCCCCCATTTTTATTATTATGGTTTCTTATAGTGATAACAGTGTCCAGAAAGGCTGCTGATTTCTGATTTCCTACGTTCCACCTGAAGGTTGGCAGTCTCAGTCAGATGGCCCTCGTTGTACTGGGTCCACCTGTTTCCTCTCACTCTGACAGTTTAGCATTTAATGTAGAAAGGGCAGCAGGGCACAATCCCAAGACCATGCCTCACATTCCAGAGGGTCTGAACCAGAGACGATTCCATGACACCTTCTTAATATGCATAAAATAATGTGATATTGGAGGTGCCAGGACAGCAGACATCTGTCTTTAAATGTGCTCTTCCCAAAAATTGATGTATATGATACCCAGAAAAAACCTCATATTTATTTGTGCATATTTGAATAGTAACCTGAAATACTTTCATATTTTAAAAGTGTTTCAGCACATAATATTAACGTGATTGTATTTTCAGAGGCATGAAAGGGACAATTGAAACAAGGGGGTGGGTGTGGTGTGACTCTGGAGGGAAGGACAAGATCAAGGAAAAGTGGTGGAGAGAGACTTTGCCATCCATTAGTATGGCTTTGCCAGCTTCAGTAGGATTTAACATGTTGTTCTCCTACTTGCTACAGGTTTTAGAAAACTTTGGTGTAAAATCTCAACAAAAAGACTGAAGATGGGATACAAAAAAGGAAAGTCTAATGAGTAAAAGGATTTACTTCAATAAATCCCCAAATCCTACCACAAGTGGAATGATCATTTCAAATACTATAAGGCAGAAAATGAATCAGCCATGTACTAACAATTACAGAATGAGACAATGATTCATATGAAAGCCAGCATAATTACTGTGAATATCATATTAGGTTTCAAAATGAGGGAAGAACATTTTAGTACTTTCTTGGCTAAGGGTAAACATAATTGATTTATGATTAATATGAGGGTCCAGCTTATCTGGCGAATATATTGTATTTCATGTAGAAATGAGCTTAAAGGCATTTTTTTTTGCATTTCTGTGTGAAACCTAATACTCGCATGCCAGGGAAGCGTGGAGGAACAGTGGCTGGAGCCACTGACGGACGGAAGCTGAGCATTAGGCATGCCAGAGCGCAGCCCATCTGCCGCACCGCAGTGGCAAGATCCATGCTGTGCCTCAGCTTGAAACGATAGGCAATGGCTTATTTATTCATGTATCGATTTAAAATAAAAATTGGATTTATTGGAAAGAATAATATCTTTCCCCAGGCGATGCTGAGAAAATTTCTCAAGTCCTACTTCATAAGGAAATAGTACATTCTATTCTAGTCCACAGCACACCCCAAACACCCTTCTGAAGTTATGGTTGCACTATGAGCTTCCCATCAATACTGTGTTTTAAGGTTTGGGAGAAATCATGTTTGGATTTCTCTGAAAATAAGAAAAATTACCATGTCCTGTTAGGTTCCTTGAGTCATTGTACTGAAGTGACTATAGTCACTTAGTTAAGTAGAATTTATTTGCTGTTCTGTTTATTTGAGGTAGGGTGGGGTAGTGTTAAGATCAGAAACCCAGTCAAACTTCCTGGGTTTGAATCCAGGTTTGGCCAAGTGTAAGCTATGTGCTTTGGGAGAGTTACTTAATTTATTTCTCAGTTTGCTTATCTTTAAAATGGGTGGTACCTACCTCCTTGGTCAGCTATGATGATTAAATTAATATTTGCAAAGAGCATGGCACAGTGCTATTTGCTAAATAAAAATTATACATTTGGGTCTTTTCAATAATCCCATGAAGAAAGCAAGAAATATAGAAACAGAAGAGTTTTGCAACTGAAAAGACCTTAGAGTTTATCTGGTTCAAATCTCTTATGTTAAAGATGAAAAAGCACTTGAAGTGTTATTACTTAATAAAGTAATATAACTATTTAGAATCAAAATATAGTTTTCTTAATTTTCAGGCTGATTTTTTTTCTGCCACATCATTCTGATTTCTGAAAATAAATATAAGGAAGATGAATTCTTAAATAATTTTTCAGTTTTAGAACTGATAAATACAATAGAAATATTAGGAATGAGAGTTGTATAGATTATACAAAGGCATATCAATTTTCTCTAGTATCTGCTGCAATATAATTTTTCTACTAGCTGCATATAGAGCAAACCCCAAATACCTTAAATGAGATAGAAGTTTATTTCTCTTCTGTCTTGTTATCTGTGAGAGAAACACAGATAAGAGAGTCTAGGACTTTTATGGGGACTCTATGGTCAACAGAGACCTGGGCTCCTTCTGCTATTGTATTTCGCCATTCTATGAATGGCTTTCATTCTCAAGGTTACCTCTTGGTCCAAAATGGCTGTTGGAAATTCTACCCTCCCATCAGCATTCTGGAATGCAGGTAGGAGGAAGGGAGAAACGACAAACAGGTGTTCTGTTTTGTTTTTCAAATGTGAGTTAGTGTTCTTTCAACAGTCTTCTAGGATGCCCCATGTCACCTTTGACTTTATCTTATCAGCCAGAACTTAGACACATGTCATGCCTAGCTGCAAGGGAGACTGACAAGTGCTTTCAACCAATTAGCAATTAAAATTGTGGGTTTTCCCATTGAGAAAAAAGGAGTAATAGATATGGGGATGGTAACTGATATTGTTTGTCTGTGTCTGCACCCAAATCTCATCTTGAATTGTAGCTCCCATAATTCCCACATGTTGTGGAGGGGACCCGGTGGGAAATAATTGAATCATGGGGGTGGTTTCCCCTATACTGTTCTAGTGAACAAGTCTCAAGAGATCTGATGGTTTTATAAGAGGAAACCCCTTTCGCTTGGTTCTCATTCTTTCTCTTGTTTGCCACCATGTAAGATGTGTCTTTTGCCTTCTACCATGATTGTGAGGCTTCCCCAGCCAGGTGGAACTGTGAGTCCATTAAACCTCTTTTATTTTTATTTTTTTAATAAATTACCCAGTCTCTATCAGCAGAGTGAAAACAGACTAATACAGTAATTAACCATTTCTGCTACCAGTAGGGGTTCATTTTTCCATCTCTTTTCCTCTTCACATTTCTTTTTCTCTTGCCATGAATCCAAAAGAGCAGACTTGGACTAAGACAAACCACACATTCATGCAGGAGAAAAGAAAATTTCTCTTTCTAAAAAGATGTTGCATCCATATATTAGGATATTGCTGCAAGAAACAAGTCAATTCACTCTGGACTAGTAGGAAAAAAGAACTCTATTATAAATTAGAATGATATTTAATTAAAATCAAACAAAAGAATGAAGAAATTCTAAGAAAGATCAGAAATTGAGAACAAGTTGGAAATACAGGCAGTGTTTTCTTTCAATTTCTTGTTATTGTTTCTTTCTGCATATGATTCTTCTTTTTCTTTTAAGATCCGTTTCCTCTGTGCCCAAGGTCAAATTGCCAGTGAGGAACAAATTGAGATTTACACCTAGATCTTCTAACTCACACTATTATATTCATTATATTTTAAAGTTCTCTCCCTCCTCCTTTGACAGATAGCAAGAGGGTCTCTTTTCCTTACCGATTCACTGTCATCTCTTGATTATAGTCACTTCTGATGTATCTGACCACAATAACTGCCTGTTTGGATCACAATCCTCAAATCTGACATTCAGAAATGCTTATGGGTTCCATAATACCGCTTGGCATTGCACACTAAGCAATATTGTTCTTGCTCAAGTTCTTCTCTTCTCAAGCAATGTATCTTCATTGATATCAAATGTTTCCACTGCCACATCACACTGATGACTCCCAAACACACATTTCCATTTTAGACCTCCCTCCTGAATTCACGGTCCTTATTTTTGTATGATTATTGGTCATTTTTCATTTGAGTGTTTCTTAGTATCCATAGTACCTTCAAATTCAACACATCCATGATCTCATCTTGAATTCTCTATTTTAAAGTGTATCAGTCCAAGCATCCAATAATCTTCCTGCCTCTTCACTTCTGCTGTCAGTTAATTACAAAGTCCTTCAGAATCTGTTACCTAAAGCTCTTATTTCTTATGTGTATTGCCTTAATACCCTTGTAATCTTGTTTTTGTACAATCTCAGCTGCCTTCTAAATCTTCTCCCAGTCTTCAGTCTTGTCTATCCTCTGCATTGTCTCAAGAGTAATCTTTTAACTCTATAAACATGATTATGTCACTTCCCTACTTAAATTTCATCAGCATTTTCCATTTACCTGTAGAACAATGGCCAAATGCCTTGCTGGCCATTTAAGGCTATTTATTATCTGATTTCTTCTTACCTAGCCAATCTCATCTTGGCCTTTTAGAACTATCTAAAATTTCCTAAATAAAACAACAAAGTTCACACTTCTGTGATATTGCACATGATTTTCATTTCCCTTCACCTTAAACACCCTTACTCTTCTCAGTCCTCTTAGTGAGCTTCTACTCACCTTATGAAACTCAGTTCAAACATCAGTTCTTCTCTGAAGGCCTCTCTGATCAGCACGCTGTCTCATCTCTTCATACTTTCCTCTATTTTCCCTTTAGAAGTTAGTTTCTTTCCTTTGCTGGGTCACATAGCATGAATATTTAAAAAGTCAGAGGAACAGACTAAAGCAGATGCTACAGTTTTCTTTCAATGTCTAGTCATTCCTTGAGTAGTAAAATGATTTAATTAGGGCATATGGTTGCCCTACTGAGAGCTACACTTTCCAATCTGTCTATGCGGTATGGCCATGTGACTGAGTTCTTTGCCAGTGGTTTGTGCACAGAACAGTGTAAGCAATTTCTGGAACATGTGATTTAAATAAAGGGTTTGCCCTTGCCTTATCCCTTTCCCCTCCCTGCTGACAGGAATGTGGGTACAATGAGCCTTTTTTGGTGAAATAATTTTATTTTTTGGTGAGCACAGACCGTTTTTTTTTTCCAACTTTTATTTTAAGTTCAGGGGTACGCATGCAGGATATGCAGGTTCATTTCATAGGTAAATGTGTGCCATGGTGGTTTGCTGCACAGATCATCCCATCCCCTAGGTATTAAGCCCAGTATCCATTAACTATTCTTTCTGAAGAATGAGCCATTTTTGACAATAAAGAGGTATGCAACACACCAGGATGGCAGACCAGTAAGGCAGAAGAGGCCTTGGTCCCTTCTAGTACGGGTTATCGTATGTGCCCTGGACTGCTTACAGTAAGACTGCCGTGTGATAAAGATACACTTCTTTATTGTTTAAGCCCCTGTTATTATTATTATTATTTTATTTTACTTTAAGTTCTGGTATACATGTGCAGAATGTGCAGGTTTATTACAAAGGTATACGTGGTGGTTTGCTGCACCTATCAACCCATCGTGTAGGTTTTAAGCCCCACATGCATTACTTATTTGTCCTAATTGCTCTCTCTCCCCTTGCCCCCCAGCCCCTGACAGGCCCTGATGTGTGACGTTCCCTTGCCTGTGTCCATGTGCTCTCATTGTTCGACTCCCACTTATGAGTGAGAACATGTGGTATTTGGTTCTCTGTTCCTGTGTTAGTTTGCTGAGAATGATGGTTTCCAGCTTCATCCATGTCCCTGCAAAGGACATGAACTCATTCTTTTTTATGGCTGCATAGTATTTCATGGTGTATATATGCCACATTTTCTTTATCCAGTCCATCATTGATGGGCATTTGGGTTGGTTCCAAGTCTTTGCTATTGTGAACAGTGCTGCTATAAATATACATGTGCATGTGTCTTTACAGTAGAATGATTTATAATCCTTTGGGTATATACCCAGTAATGGTATTGCTGGGTCAAATGGTATTTCTGATTCTAGATCCTTGAGGAATCGCCACACTGTCTTCCACAATGGTTGAACTAATTTACACTCCCACCAACAGTGTAAAAGCATCTCTATTTCTCCACATCCTCTCCAGCATCTGTTGTTTCCTGACTTTTTAGTAATTACCATTCTGACTGGTGTGAGATGGTATCTCATTGTGGTTTTGATTTGCATTTCTCTAATGGCCAGTGATGATGACAAGCCCCTGTTATTTAAGATATTTGTATCCTAATACAAATATTATGATATAGCAGGTCCTATAGCCTAGCTAACATACCTGCTCCACTATGAGACTATAAAAGGAGTTCATATTTATCTTTGTATACCTAACACCTAGCGCAGAGCCTAAAACACAGTGCACCATCAGGAAAATGTTTAGAGCAGAGATATAGTTGTAAATGGATACAAGTTACAACTTAACTGTGAAAAAAAAGGTAACTTAAGCTTACTCAAGTCCTCATTTTCTGTTGATGAGGACCAACTCATTATTGTCAATTTAAAGTAACTAGCATTTGCAGTTAAACTTTAAGTCTCTTTTGGGTAACAACTTAGTTAATTATGATTCTGCAATCCTGACCATCCTGGCGGGTGGTGATGGTGCTTGTCTTGTGTTTCTTTCTGGCATGGGGAGCCAGCCACCTGGCCTGCTGAGCCTCCTGGCCCCAACCCAGGTGTCACTGATTTCTCCTGGTCTTGGGCATTGGCCTCTGTCCCTGCTGCTGAATCCACACTTTATCTTGGCCTCTAATTCTTATCCCCACTGCACGGCCTTTTTGGGGTTTTGAATCCCAGTCTTGTCTGACTTCCTCTAAAGTTGTGAGGAAAGCTGGCTGCTGCTTTCACATGTGGCACTCCACATCATCTGGAGTGCTGGGGCTCTCTGAGGAAGCTCTCAGGTCCATCTGCCTAGTCACCCCTTTCAGCCACTGCTATTTCAGATCCAATGTGGGATGGAGGACTTCTCTACTCAACTTCTGAGTTATACTCCTAATAGCTAGGCAATTATCCTTCTGTTCTGGGATCTCTCTCTTCAAACTTATCTGGGATTGATCCCAGAACAGAAAGATCATTGAGAAGGAATCTGAGACGCTATCTCAGATTTTCATCAGTATATGCAGAGATGTCTCCCACCCTCCAGTCATTCCTCCTAATCATTACTTAGCCCAGAGAGATGGAGCATGAGGCCTTTTTCTCAGGCATAGTCTCTATTTAGACTCTAGTAGGTCACCCTTGATTCTTCCTTTCCCACAACTGGCTGACATATAGTATCCTTTGTGTTGGAGAAATTGCTTGTCTTTCACGATGCAGTTTTCCTCAGTCTAAGGCTTATGGCATACACTTCAGGATGTCAGTCTTCCAGACTTTGGCTCTTTATATGCAAAACCAAGCTTTTTGTGATTCGTGTTGCCTTTTTCTCTCTTAAAACCCTCTCTCCTGGTTTTTAAGGCAACTGGGTCCAAGATAAATTGAAAACAATAAATGAGTTCAGAACCTCTGTTGACTTTGTCATTCTCTTTCCCTTTCCCAAGATAAAGAAGGCCATTGCCAAAGAGAAGTGTTGCTAGGGAAACCTTCTGTTATTGCAAAATTATAGTGTTGTAGCAGATTCATTCATACAAAGAGGTTGGTTTTTGTATACAAAACAGCATGATATTATATTTGCTTGTGAAAGATATAAAAACACTTCCCACCCTCTGTCTTCCCATTTCCTCAATAGCCCAAACAGGCTGGAAAAGCAAAAGAGGACCAGAAACAATACTCTGAGTTCACCAAACTATTTTATTTTTTTCCTGGGCACACAGGAAGACATATATTTCCCAGTAGCTCCTGGAGTGTGGGTGGACTGTGTCACTGAGCTCTACAGATGGAAAGTGAGTGGAAGTGACGTATAGCACTTCCAGGCATGGCCATTAAAAGTCTCTGTGTGATCTTCTTTGCTCCTTCAACCACATGGCAGGAAGAGAAGGCCTTCGAGATGGTGGAACACACAATGGAAAGAGCCTGAATCCTGAGTTGATCACTTGGAGGAGTTGTTAAAGAGATCTCTTGGCCAGGAACTTGAGCTCTGGATTTCATATGAACAAGAGTGTTGTATTATTGTATTAAGCCACTCTGACATTGGGGTTGTTTATTACAAGTTAGTGTTGAATAATTTTTCTTCTTAGAAAAATTAGTACTTTTTCTAAAATTACTTTAAAAAGAAAACAGGAATTGAAGGATTAAGAACTGCAATTAGAAAAAAGCTATTGAGAGGAGAGAAAGAGGGAAGTTGGAGTTGGGTAACTGTCTTGACTGGGATCCATGGCATGGATGATCGGAAGAGAGAAGTTCTTGGAGGTGTTAATGGCTATAGAAACTTTAAGAACTAAGATGGCTAATAATTAGTTAAAATGTTTTTAAAATGTAATATCTGATACAAAGAAAAGAATGTATAGTGATTTTAACTTTGAAGCATAATAACAAATCAAACACTTGTGAACTCACTCCCAGCCTAAGAACCAGTACATTATCATTGTTGTTGAAACTGTAAGTATATGGATACATTTTAGAAACATGATAAAGTAAGGCAAGTCTCAGAAGATTATGTATTAAGTGATAACTTTTTTTATGAAGCTCAAAAAAGGCAAAATAAAATAATAAGGTATTTTTGGAACCATACATGTTTAATTTTTAAGTTGCTATTAAACCTTCAGTGAAACTTTGTTTGAATTTTGTTGGTATTCTGGGATTAATACCATAGTAGTCTCAGATATAGTAGGGAAAACTTACAACATGCATTAAAGTTAGAAAATTATGACAAAGTGGTAACTGGAGGACAGAGATTATTAGAATCAACATAATCTACCCCCTCAGCCTGAATCCCTAGAGATACAGAAAGATGGATTTCCTATCATAAGTGAAAGAAAGATTCAAATGAATAATTTGGAGGACTTGGGGACATCCAGGAGCTGGCACCTGGAATATAGTCGAATAAATTTAGCTCTTTTTTTTTTTTTTATTTCATGCCATTGCCACAATTAAAAAAACAGGTTTTTACTTTTGATCTGTTTTCCTTAAGAAACTACAAAGTTTCTGAGAAGGGTGAAGGAAGAATACTGTTGGTGAAAGCAGTCCTTGTAAAGCCCATATTTGACAAAGTTGACAATTTTTTAACTATTGTTTAAAGATAAAATTCATTAAATGCCTACTATATTGCAGTCACTGTGTAAAAGCGTTTACTCTTCCTTCCCATTCTTGCCATATGTTTAAGGTCTTAATAGAAGCAATGCTTGACAAACAACTACAGTCATTCTTTTTTTAAATTGACAGTGTGCTAATGGAGGACCTGAGATAACGTGGACTATTATCACTGAGTCTTTATCAGAATCTTTAGAACAGAGGGGCAGGCACTCTTCCCAGTGAAGAGTGGCTTGGCACATTGTAGCCAGGGTGCAAAGACAGTCTTTCTAAGAAATTGGTGGTTTTGCTGCTGCTCAGCCTTTTTTTGTTTGTTTGTTTTTGTTTTTGGCTTATGCTGCCCTTACCTGCAAAGGGGAGAACTTATAATTCAATAGAGAAGGACCAAGGCTGGCATGAAGGGGTAGCCCACTTCTGTCCATAGCTTGTTGTGTTATCTTGGGCATGTCACTTCACTTTTTGAAGTCTCTTTGTTTTTTCATCTGTTAAGTGAAGAATACTAATACTGATCATAGTACATTTTGTAAAAATAAAATAAAATAATAGATACGAATAAACTTTATCAACTCTAACATATTCTGCAAATATAAGAGACTCACAATTAGAAAGCTGAGGAGGATTACACTGAGTGAGACATGAACTGGACCCCAAGGCCTTTGAAGTCATTTCCAGGTCTAATTTTTTTTCGATCACTAAACTAATATTTATTGAGCATCTATTAAGCCAAGTATTGTTCTAGTCATTTGGGATACATCTTTAAGAAAGCAGCCACAGATTTAATTTGATGAGTCTTTACCTTATAATCTTTGCATAGATTTAATTCTAGAAAATGCTAATGGAATCTGGAAACCTTGATATAAACCTAAAAAATTATGTTGTAGAGAGAAATAGTATAAAATATTTAAGCCGTTAGAATATGTTTTTAGAAAAATATCTGATTAACTGTGTTGACCTCACATTAATGTAACTTTCCTGAAGTGCTCTCCTACTTCGAGAAATTTCCAAATCCCTTCTTTTATCAAGAAAGTTATAGGAAAGCTGACCAGGATAAGGTACCCTGTTGAGATAGATGTTGTGTGTATGTCTCTTTAAGGATGAATGAATCAATGACTCCTCTGAACCAGCTTGAGACATGCCAAAGAAAACCCATTTTCGGACCTCACTTTAAATCTAATTCCATTTTTGGATAATATTCTAACCTGTCTCTTTGTCTTGTTCTGTTTAATTTCCTTAAGCTATTTCCTGATTGAGAACTTTGATGTGTACAGCCTGACATCATAAAATTTTAGCAACAGTTCTTCCATTCTATTATTTTCTGAGAATGTCCCTCAAATCTTCTCACAGAAGATGTTCTAGCCTTTGAGGCTGACATTGACTCTCATTCTTTATGAGAATCTGAACTTCATTCTTTATGAATTTGCTTCTGGCCAAATTTTAAATAAACTTTGACTTTTCAGATGTTCTGGAAGAGGATGTCTGTAATCCTGCCCCTGTGAGGCACTGATGGTGATGTGCTACACTCTGTCCCACATCAGCCTTTTTCAACCCTAGTTGTATTGGTAAGTAGCATTCATGAAATTCAACTGTTTCCAGGACTTTAGGTCCTGTCCTCATTTAGTCCTTTGGGAAAGTCTTTTGAATAGAGACAAAGGCAGATTAGCCCTACTGATTTTGGTCAGGTATTTGGTATATATCCCAGGAAAATTTTTTTCCCTATCCAAACACTACTTATTGATAAAACTACTTAGCATGTTGCAACATATGTGTACTTCTTACTAGTGTGTGGGCAGAGTCCTTAGATGTCTGGAACTGACTTAAAAATCTTGATTTCACATATTCTAAGCATCCTTCACTGACGTAGTAATTTTAGCAGACTAGCAGACAGCCTTTTGTGGCTTCTATGATCCCCATGCCTTCGTGTAGTCCCCTGTCTCCTCTCCTTGAGTGTGGGCAGAAACTGGGATTTGCTTCTAGGCATGTAGAATATAGCACAGGTGACAAGATGTCTGTGATTATCTGTATGTGCTCATAAGCATAAGATGTTTCATAAGACTGTAATGCATGTCTGACAAGCAGATTCCCTGTCCTTTGCTAAATTTGATGAAGCGAGTGGCCATGTTGCAAGCTGCCCGTGTAGAGGGTCATGTGTCGGGAAACTGAGGTTGGCATCTGGCCAACAGACAGCAGGAAGTGGGGACACCCTGACCCAAACACCTGTAAGGAACTGAATTTTGCCAATAACTGTGTGAGCTTGGAAGTGGGTCCTTCCTCAGCCAAGCCTCACGTAAGACCACAGCCCTGGCTGATAATGTTGATTTCCATCTTGTGAAACCCTAAGCAGAGGACCTAGCTAAGCTGTCTGCAGAAATTGCATCTACAGATCTACAGAAACTGTGAGATAATAAGTGTGTGTTGTTTTAAACTGCTAAATTTGTGGTACATTTTTATGCAGCAATAGATAACTAAGAAAGAGACTAAAGCTTTGAGACTGACAATGATCTGACAGATCTCTAACCACAGGAAAAACAGGATTGGAAGTTGCCTAGGAATCATCTAACTAGGTGGATATTTTATGAGTCAATTAGGAAATCTTGGACAAACAGCCTTAAACTACATTAGAACTACATAGAACTACATAAGAACTACATAGAATGATCTAACATTGCTAAATGGCAGTCTATGTGATAAACACAGGAGAAAATATTCATTACTTCTCATGGCATTCACAGAGGTTTGAAAACAGGCAAAACTTTACTAGGCCTCAAATAATGGTTAGAAATTGCTTCAGTGGTCAAAGTTGTGGGAGAAAGGTGTCTTTCATTTAGGATAAATAGCGTAAACAAAGGTGACAGATGTAGCAATGTATTTGAGAGAAAAAGGATCAAAATGTCTTCATGATCCAGAAGTTTCAGGAATGGGATAGAGTGGGATAGTGTGAGGAGCATAGTAGTTAAGGAATACGGATATTATCTTGTGGAATACTCCTTTTCTTTTCTTTTTTCTTTCCTTTTTTTTTGGGGGATGGATTCTCACTCTTTCACCCAGGCTGGAGTACAGTGGTCCGATCTCAGCTCACTGCAGCCTCCGCCTCCTGGGTTCAAGTGATTCTCCTGCCTCAGCCTCCCAAGTAGCTGGGATTACAGGCATGTGCCACCATGCTCAGCTAATTTTTTGTATTTTTAGTAGAGATGGGGTTTCACCATGTTGGCCAGGCTGGTCTTGAACTCCCGACCTCAGGTGATCTGCCCACTTCGGCCTCCCAAAGTGCTGGGATTACAGGCTGGCCTGTGGAACACTTTTTTTTTTTTTTTTTTTTTTTTGAGATGGAGTTTCACTCTATTGCCAGGCTGGAGTGCAGCAGTGGCATAATCTCAGCTCACTACAACCTCCGCCTCCTGGGTTCAAGCAATTCTCCTGCCTCAGCCTCCCGAGTAGCTGGGACTATAGGCACGTGCCACCATGCTTAGCTAGTTTTTGTATTTTTAGTAGAGACAGGGTTTCATCATGTTGGCCAGGATGGTCTTGATCTTTTGACCTTGTGATCTGCCCGCCTTGGGCTCCCACAGTGCTGGGATTACAGGCATGAGCCACTGTGCCGGCCTGAACACTTTTAATACAGGATAAGAAGCCTAAAGTCTATCCTTTCAGTCTGTGGTATCTGCTCCCTTTCCTACCCTAACCCAAGGAACTTTGCTTTCATCTGTTTCGTGTATTGGGTTATTTTCAAATATTTCATTTAAACAAAGGGTTCCATGGCTAAAAACAATATGTGAACTTACTTTGGAAATGTGGAGCCTCTTATTTCTTTTGAGCAGAGTTGTTATTAAATTTCTGTTCTGCAATTCATCTGGCTATACTTTTCAAGTGGCATTGAAAGAAGGATAAATTGAAGTTATGGGGACCAATTATAAGGTTATTGCAGTTATTTACTCTCTGAAATGGGTTCATTGATGTAGGCAAAACAGGATTTTGCAATAGGATTTAGGGATTTAATTGTGCTTAGCCCAGAGCCTTGCACACTTGAGACTCTCAATAAATGTACATTGAATTGTAGAGATTTAACAATAAGAATCAAATCCAGACAAAACAAAAAATTGCTAGAGAAAATGTTGTCGATGAACCACATTAAAAAATACCACTCTTGGAGGGGAAAGTTGAATGGAGATAATCCATAAAGATAACAAGAGATAGTTTTTTGGCCATTATGATGAAAACTGTCATTAGAAGTTTGATATTATAACATTAACTTTTGCTAAGAAACAAATTACTTTACTATATGAATTTCCTAAATGAATTTTCTTGCAATAAATCATAAACTCTTTGATATGCTTTACTAAGTAAAATCTGCAAAGTTCTACGTTATGTATTGTTATTTTGAAAGTCAAAGGGAACAAAATTATGCTTATCTGAAGTTTCCTAATGCTCATTAAGACTAACAAAGCAAGGCTGAAAAACCAAGAGAAACAGCTACATCACCAAATTAATAACCCTCACAAAATGATAGCCATCAATTATTTCTTTGTTTAAGAAAAGGAGTGAAGTTTTTAAAGATAGTACCTTAAAAATAAAACATATTTTCTGGGAATATTCAATATGAATAAGGAGTATTTTAAACCAGAATCTCCTTAGCCTTCTTAATTAAAGTTTTCCAGTTATCTTTTAAAGGGATTTAGAATACATAGGGATTTTTTTTCTTATTTTCATTAGCTTCTAATTAGCAACAACACCAAGTTTACTAAGTAAATATATAAATACCAGCTTCTTGAAAATAACTTTATCTTTCCTGGAACTTGGAATAGTGCTCAGATCATCATAACACCCAATGCATTTGACTGACTGATGTTCGAAAGCACAAATAGATGCCAGATATGGTTACACAATTTATCTTGTTTGTGGAGTGTGGTGGTAATCTCTGCAGTCTAATTCTCAGTTCATTTCTTCTCAAACATTTTATAAAATACATCTCAGAAATAATTAGAAGAATATGATTTAAGGAAAAAAAGTCTTAATCTAACTTTTTTTCCCTATATTTTCTTTCACAGTGTCTTCAGAAAAAAAATCTATAAATGCGTAGGTTTTTTTTCTATTAATTATCCAGCAGTTTTTGAATTTGGGTGACTCCTGGCTTATATCTGCTAAATAGTGATTGCTTTCCCGAGAGGCTAAGAATATGAAAATTTTACAACCCAGTAGATGGAAAAGTGTCAAGGCTCTAAAGACACCTTCTGAGTCCTACTATGTGAAAGAAAACAAATATTTCATATAAAATATATGATCTTTTTCCTTTAAAAAACAACTTTTAAAATGTACTTTCCTTTGATAAAAAACACAATAGCAATAAGTAATAAAGGAAAATAATGAAATGCTGGAAAGATTGATGTAACCTGATGATAAGGAAGATCGGATATTTGGACCAAAGGACTGTATATGTTACTTTTGATGCCTAAACTTAAATGACTAAAAATCATTATCTTTCAAAACTTTGAAACTTGTGTGAAGGCATGCACATATAATTATTGTGGTTGAATGTTATTTTTGTTCTTACTCAACTTTCTTTTTAGTGTAGCTCTCCTATTATTTTACAAAACTGACAATGTTGACAAGATCATCTTTATGGGTATTTCACTTGAAATGTGGGAAATTGATCTGCAATTCAAAAAAGTTAGTAGGAAAGAACAATCTGGAAGCCAATAGATCCTTTAGAAATCTCAAGGTGACTGAGGACAAAAAAAAATCAGATAAAATCCAGCAATGATGGGTGAGATATCCAGGCTATTTTGGGCTTTACATCAGGCAAGCGGGCAACAGGTAGCTCCCATCCACAGGGTGGAGAGGCCATCACTGGAGATCACATTGCAGTTTTGTGAATTCTTAGAAAAGAAACGTGGAGGAAATCCAGAAAGGAGAAATAACAGTGATAAAGAGAACTAAAGTATTGATTTGTGAGGAGACATTAAAGCCGCTAAATGTCTTCAGCTGAGGGAAGATTAATTGCATATGTGTGAAGCCCAAATGAAGAGAGGACATTTTTAGCTTAATATGCCTATAGTTAAAAAAGAGATGATTTTCAAGGAAAAGTTCATTTCAAGGAACTTATTAGAAGATACCTCAACTTTTTTTAATGGAAATATTAGTTTTGACAAAGCAGTAACTGTAAAAATGACTTATAAAAATAAACATAAGAATACTTATTGAATTACATTTCAATTTATATAAAAATTTACAATTATTTTATAAATCCTTGTTTTCATCATACTTGTCAGCCATAGACTTTCAGGAACTATTAAACAACATTTAATTATGGAAGAAAAAGAAAAGAGAAAGAGTCTTAAGTTTCATTAGTTCTCAAACTTTTGGTCTCAGGACTTCTTTATACTTTTAAAAAATATCAAGTTTCTCAAAGAGAATTTGTTTTAATAAGGTACAGCTATTGGTATTTATCATATTTGAAATTAAGCATATGACAGTTTTGACATTTATTTATTACTTTCTTAAAAATAATGATAATAAACTCATTACATGTTAACATGTAGAACATTTTTTAAAAATTTTACTTTAAGTTCCGGGATCCATGTGCAGAATGTGCCAGTTTGTTATACAGGTATACGTGTGCCGTGGTGGTTCACTGTACCTACTGACATCCTCTAGGTTCCCTCCCCTCGCCCTCCAGCCCCCAACTGGCCCCAGTGTGTGTTGTTCCCCTCCCTGTATCCATGTGTTCTAATTGAATAGAACATATTTTTAATGAAAAGTAACTATAGAGGAGAAGAGTGGCATTGTTTTACATGCTTACAAGTATCTATAATGTCTTGCTTAATAGAAGATAGTTGGGGTTCTACATTTACTTTATTGGGATTTTTTTTGGGAGAAGTATATGTAGAAAGTCCAGCCTCACACAGAAATGTAAATGGAAAAAGAGAGGGCATTTTTCTAGCTTTTTCATATAACTGTGGATATTCTTTTTGATACACACTAATACTTAAGAAGTTGTAGTTTTTTATGGGTTGGTTGCACTGTGGAATCTGACACCACCCCAGTAAACTTTTAGGGCTCTGTAACATTAAAATTCATTGGTCTGTCTTGCATTTTTAATGGATCTTTTATGATTTTGTAATGTTTATGCATTGGTCATTTGAAAAATATTTGTTCTGTGAGTTATTCTGATTTTCCTAAAGTTGATGCATTTCATTATACAATATTAAAAATTCATATACATTAATATTACCACTGACCCAAACAGAAGTCTTCAAGTTTTAGAAAGCTGTGAAGCTCACAGTTATGAATGAAAGTTTTTCAGACTTTGAAATTCTCCTGAAAATAAGTTTTATCATTGGCCATATATAAAGTCAGATGTTTTCTTGAAGTGATAAGCTCTCTTTGTTCATTTTCAAGAAAAATATTTTCCAAATCTCAATATGAATAGCTTTAGTTTGTCTTTCAATCTTTTTTTTAAAAAGTAAAAATGGCTAGTTCAGCTTACAACTCAAATAATCACACAGTAGGTTTTTTTTTTTTTTTTTTTTTTTTTTGAGACGGAGTCTCGCTCTGTTGCCCAGGCTGGAGTACAGTGGTGCGATCTCAGCTCACTGCAAGCTCCGCCTCTCGGGTTCACGCCATTCTTCTGCCTCAGCCTCCCGAGTAGTTGGGACCTACAGGCGCCCCCCCACCACGCCCAGCTAAATTTTTTTTTTGCATTTTTAGTAGAGACGGGGTTTCACCGTGTTAGCCAGGATGGTCTCAATCTCCTGACCTTGTGATCCACCCACCTCGGCCTCCCAAAGTGCTGGGATTACAGGCCTAAGCCACCGCGCCTGGCCCACACAGTGGTTTTTTCTCGAATCATTGTCCTTTGGTGTGCAGTCAAAACACTCCATGCATCTTTCCCATTTCATCACACAGAATATTAAAAATATGTGTACTCATGGGCCAAGAGTTAATACAATTAAGTTTGCACTGACTCCTCAGATGCGTTCCTGAGTGAAACTGGCTGGATTCTCTGGCTATTGTGAGTGCATGGACATGAAGAGCATGAGGGCTGCTAGTACGGTTTGATTCATGCTAAAGCACCAACAATTTTACCCACTACAAGTGCAAACGTCAACATAGTGTAAAAGTAAAAAAAACTTAGCATAATTGTGAAAGTAGTTTGACCTTGTGGACTCCCCAAAAGTTCTCAGAGACCTTTAGTTTTGAGAAGCAAAAAATTTGAAAGTGAATCACTCGGAGCATGTTTGGTTCCTAACATAAATCCAAGTATCTTTTTTTTCTTTTTTTTTTCTTTTATCTTTCTTTCTTTCTTTTTTTTTTTTTTTGAGAGGGGGTCTTGCTTTGTTGCCCAGGCTGGAGTGCAGTGGCATGATCTCGGCTCACTGCAATCTCTGCCCCCTGGGTTCAAGCAATTCTCCCACCTCAGCCTCCTCAGTAGCTGGGACTACAAGCACACGCCACCATGCCTGGCTACTTTTTGTATTTTTAGTAGAGATGGAGCTTCACCATGTTGGCCAGGCTGGTCTCAAATTCCTGACTTCAGTTGATCCACCTGTCTTTCCTGCCTTTGCCTCCCAAAGTGCTGGGATTACAGGCATGAGCCACCACACCTGGCCCCATGTATCTTTTCTGTATGAAAAATAGCATGTATGGGCTGCTGGTTCAGAATGCAGCCACACTCTAGAGCATACCATACCTTGCAAGGTATATTCTCACAATAGGGGCTGCAACTGAGTCTTCTATAGCTCATTCTAGCACTAAGCCAGTAAACAAGCCCTGGGATGTGTAGGGAGGTGTAAATGACTCCAATTCTTTTAGGAAAAGGCAGAAGGAAGATTTATGGCACTAACTCAGGGTGCTATCATAGCCTTCTTCCTACAGGTGTCCCAGCATCCTTTTCACTGAAGAGGCTCTGGGTTTGGAAACTGAATTAGAATTGACAATTGGATGAAAGGCTAAGACTTGTCAATATGGTCATGCAAGTCAATTTTCTGTTCATTAGGTCAGATTAAGAAATTTTCCCCCAATCCTAGATTTCCACAGATATTATTGGACTGTTCATCTATTTCATCCCTAAGGATTCAAGAAGGTTTAGATGTTATTCCTTTCATCATTGTTTAGATACCACTTCTTTCATCACTGAAGGGTATACCAGCATGCTAAAGTACTACAAGTTGAGCATCCCTAATCCAAAAATCTCAAATTCAATATGCTTCGAAATTTGAAACTTTTTGAGTGTCAACTGATTCTCCAAAGTGGAAAATTCCATATCTGATTTAATGTAACGGGTTGCAGTCAAAATGCAGGCCCACAACACACAGTTTATTCAGCCTCCCCAAAGGAAAAAAGAGTCCCCTAGTCCCCTTTAGCTGCAGTATATCTTTTCCAGGTACACACATATTCCCCCATGCAAGCATGTCCACAAAGGGTAATAAAATGGCAGATGTGTAGGCTGAATGCACCAACAGCAGGTTCTCCACAACACCCCACATGAGGTCAAGACCTACATTCATTACTGACTGTCATTTTCACTTATTCTCTGCTCTGTGGTGTAAATGTATTGTTGAAAATGTCAAAGAGGCCTGAAAAAACCCCTGTGGGTAACATTGATAAGAAAAATGGCCAGGCGCAGTGGCTCACGCCTGTAATCCCAGCACTTTGGGAGGCCAAGGAGGGTGGATCACAAGGTCAGGAGATCAAGACTACCCTGGCCAACATGGTGAAACCGCCGTCTCTACTAAAAATAAAAAAAAATAGCCGGGTGTGGTGGCGTGTGCCTGTAATCCCAGCTACGCAGGAGGCTGAGGCAGGAGAATAGCTTGAACCCAGGAGGCAGAGACTGCAGTGAGCCGAGATCACGCCATTGCACTCCAACCTGGCGACAGAGCAAGACTCTAGCCCAAATGAAAAAAAAAAAAAAAAAGGAAAACAGGAAGCATTTGTGTTTTTGTAGCACCAAAGGCCAAACTGCTGGAGAAACTGGACGGTGGTGTAAGTGTGAAATGTCTTGCAGTAGAGTATGGTGTTGGAATGACCACCGTATATGACCTGAAGCAACAGAGGATAAACTGTTAAGTTCTATCCTGAAAGTGATAAACACAAGTTAATGAAAAATAGAAAAACTGCATAAATTTAAAAACGAAAATCTTGATAATGTACTGAAAGAGTAGGGCCATCAGTGTTGCAGTGAACACATGACACTTAATGGTAAATGAAACAAGCAAAGAACTATCACGATGAACCAAAGGGAACTGTGAATATTCAACAGGCTGGTTGCAGAAATTTAAGAAAAGACAGCATTACATTTTTAAATATTTGTGGTGATAAAATATCTGCTGATAACATGGCGGTGGAGAAATTCATGGATGTGTTTGCCGAGGTCATCACTGATGAAATCTGACACCGGAATAAGTCCATAATGCTGATGAAACGTCACTGTTTTGGCATTATTGCCCCAGAAAGTCACTGACTGCAGATGATAAAACAGCCCCTACAGGAATCAAAGATGCCAAGGTCAGAAGAACTGTGCTCGGCTGTGCTAATGCAGCAGGCATGTGTAAGCACACTTGGTGTGATAGGCACAAGCTTGTGCCCTTGCAGTTTTATTTTATTAAATTTTTTTAATTTTAATTTTTGTGGGTACATAGCAGGTATATATATTTGTGGGGTACATGAGATATTTTGATACAGGTATACAATGTGTGATAATCATATCAGGGTAAATGAAGTTATCCATCACCTCAAGCATTTATCCTTCATGTTACAAACAATCCAGTTATATTTTTTAGTTATTTTTAAATGTACAATTAAATTATTATTGGTTATGTCACTTAGTTGTGTTATCAAATATTAGATCTTATTCATTCTTTTAAACTATTTTTTTGTACCCATGTCCTTGCAGTTACAGAGGAGTGAATTTCTTACCAGTCCATTATTATGCTAACAGAAAGGCATAGATCATCAGGAACATCTTTTCTGATCAGTTTCACAAACATTTTGTACCAGCATCTTGTGCTCACTACAGGGAAGCTAGACTGCATGATGACCAAAAGATTTTATTTCTTGAAAACTGTTCTGCTTATTTCCTTCAGCTAAAATTCTCATAAAAAATAATGCTTATGCCGTGTACTTTCCCCCAAATGTGACTTCATTAATTCAGCCACCTGACAAGGGTATCCTGAGATCAATAGAGAGTAAATATAAAAACACTTTCTTGAACATCATGGTAGCAGCAGTGAACAGAGGTGTGGGTGTGGAAGGTTTCAAAAGAAGTTTAGCATGAAGGATGCTGTACGTGCTGTTGCCAACAGTTAGAACACTGAAGATACATTTGTGTGTGCTTGGCACAACCTCTGGCCTGTGATTATGCTCAGCGATGATGATGAACAAGGTGGCAATTTTGAAGGATTTCATATGTCAAGTGAGAAAAATCCAGGCCTGACCTTCTTACATATGCAAAAATATACCTTCAGAGTCCATCAGTAAGCTGGAAGAAGTGGATATTGAAGAAGTTTTTAACAGTTGTTCATTCGTTGTCTGATGGTGAAATAGCCAAAATGGTTCTGAATCAAGGTGATTATGATAATAGTGATCATGAAGATGATATTGTTAACACTGTTGAAAAAGTGCCTATAGATAACGTGGTGAAAATGAGTGATGAGCTTATTGAATGACTAGAGCAGCATGCATTCATAACAGAATAAGAAATCACGTCAGTTTATAAAATCAAAGAAAGACTTACAAGAACCATTGTCAATGAGGCAGATGACTCTGGAGGAAACATTTTTAAAAAGCACCCAGCAGAATGCCTCCTCAGCCCTGCAGGACCCACTTCCGATGCTTCTTCACACCTAAAACAATGAGATACAGTGTACAGTAACCTTTTAATCAAAACACAGAATCACAGGTGGAGATGGGAAGCCTGCCATTGTTTGTTGTTGCTGTTGTTTAATGGACAATAGAGGTATTCTGTTGATGCTACTGTGCTTGGTTACCCTGAAAACATTGTTGTTATTATTATTTTACTGTATTAATGGTATATCATATTTTTTACTGTTAAGTACTTATAGGTGAATAAGTGTAAGAAAATGATTGGTTATTTGTAGCAGATGAATTCAGAATCAGGGATGATGGTGATGCCAAACAACCATAGACTGTCCACATAGGTGGCTGAAATAGTGACCCCTTTGCTTTCTGATGGTTCAGTGTACACAAACTTCGTTTCATGCTAAAGTTACCAAAAATATTGTATAAAATTACCTTCAGCATTTTGTATAATATATATATATATATATATATATATAAAACAAATAAATATCATGTTTTATATAATTTTTGGTCTTGGGGGTCTCATCCTCAAGATATCTCATTATGCATATGCAAATATTCCAAAACCTGAAAAAAAAATCCCAAATCTGAAACATTTCTGGTCCCAAGTATTTTGGATAAAGGATACCCAAATGTATAAGAGTTGTTCTCTCTAGGCTGGAGTTGAACATGGGAAAGGCTGCCATTGAAATGGGCTTCCTGATTTCACTGAGGATCACAGGATTCAGGAGTGGTGAGGCCCAGTTTCACCACTTAATAGAGGCAGAGTAGCTGAGGTTGTCGCAATTAGCTGATAAACAGATGGTTAGCAGAACTTTTAACCACAGAGAACTTTGGCAGTGCTGACTTTTTCCTTAGGTTCCTTCAGACTCTCTCCCTGAACCATCCCTAAAGGCCTTTTCTTTTTCTTCATCCTCCTCAGATGCTTTTACAGTATATTCTTATTTTTATTTGGAAGATGTTATAACTCAAATATGCAAAGAAATTTTGTACCTTAGTATTTTTGCAAGAGTAGACAAGGGTATACTTTACAAATTAGCCCTATATTAAAAATCTATAGAATAGCATAGACCTCTCCAAATTTGTCACTTCCACCAAATGGTGAAATTGAGATCACTCATATATAGCCTAATATGTGAAATAATTCAAGGTATGAACTTAAGGTATGAACTTAATCAGACTTTTTTCCTCATGATGATTTTTTAAAGTCTAAGACAGAGGTTACCAAACATTTCTTCCATAAAGTGTCAGATAGTAAATATTTTAAGCTTTGTGGGCCATCTGATTTCTACTGCAGCTGCTCAACTCTGCTGTCGTAATGGGAAAGCAGCCATAGATAGCATGCAAAAGAATGGGTGAGGCTATGTTTTAATAAAACTTTATTTACAAAGGCAGGCAGCATGCCATAGTTTGCTGATCCCTGCTGTAAGTTCATGCTTTACTTTCAGCATCTACTAACTTCTATTCCATGTTTTTTTCCACAAATCCATTTGAAAGATACACCCACATCCTCTAATTATTCACTATCTGGTCTTGTATTTATATTTACACTTTTGATTCCTATCTCTCACCACTGAAACTTTTAAAAAGGATATTATTGTTTTTATATAATTATTGTTTATTGGTCATATCTAGTAATTTTTTTGCATATTTTCTGCTTTGATATTCTCGCTATTTTAACAGGGGATATTATTAGGGCCAGAGTTAAGATTTGAATAGACCACTTAACAACACATGCTGGCCTATCAAAAAGAAAGTATGAGACTTGTTAGCAGATGTTCTTCAGAATTGCAAGCAGCTGGTCTGATTATATGAAGTTACTGGTTTCTATCCTCCTTGCTGTTGTTTAATGGACAATAGAGGTATTCTGTTGATGCTACTGTGCTTGGTTTGACGACTGGGAAATTAGGGTTACCTGGGACCCATAACTATCAGGGCTCAGAGGATATTCAGGTTACTCTGAGGGTATCCCTGAAGATGCCCAGAAAATATGAGGAGAGGCATTGAAATGGCAAGATGAAATTCTCCATAGAGGGCAGGAAAGCTGAGTGGTCCAAGCTAACACTCTCTAGGTGGAGAGTGAGGAGTGGGGAAAGGTGGCAAAGTCTGGGAGAATAAAAATGTTAATAAATCTCATTCCAATACCACAATGAAATGCAGCTTACTTAAAGGAAGGCATCAATAAAGTGAAACCTTAATTCCTAAGTAAAATTTGACTACTGATTTAACATAATTTAAAGGATAAAATGCACTGTAGGTGTGATAATTTATTGAATTATTGAAAATATAATAATGAGAGCTAATACTCCCAACACTGAATGTAATATAATTTTTGCTAACTTCATTTCCCTTTTTTCATACATTACATAATACAGTTTAGTATGACTTGGAGAGCTTATTACAATTTTAAAGGAAAGCAGCTTAATTTTTTTTTCTATTTCTCTTTCCTACTTGAATAGCTTTCTCTACCCACGGCCCATCTTTAATGTGCAGAATCCATGATGTAATCAAAGAAACTGTCAAGAACAATTAGATCAAATTAAAACTATTCAGCAGAAAGTATTCCTCACGTGCTTGGCAAAGTTTGTGGCTTCATCCAAACTAAGTGTGAAATTAAAACAGAAGTCCTTGGTCTTTTACTGTTGATTTTCTACCATGTGACTATACAGATTTCAAAAGCTGGTTGTTTGATTGGAATTCTATCTTTCACACATATTGAATTAATTTTCTTAGCAGATTGTTCCACTACATTTTAACTTAAAATAGAAACCCAGAAAAATGTCACTTGCCTTTTTTTTTAATTTTCAGAATAAATTTTAACGTTTCTTCCATTTTGTGATCCACCAGCATCACTGCTATTTTCTGTCTAGTCTTCTATTCTCATACAATTACCCTGGAGATGTTTCTAGGGACAAATCATGGTTGTTATGTATTTATGCACTGGAATTAAAGTATATAGGAAGAGCAAGACCTGAGACAATTCTTTGACTATTAGATTATGGCCTTTAAGCTTTTTTTAAAAAAGTTTATGCATTCATTTGTTTCTTCATTGACAAATATTATTGAATGCTTACTGTAGAAAATACATTGGGTTGAGATGAAGGTGGGGAAGAGATAAAAAGATATATGTGGTACAATCGTCTTTTGAGAATCATAGAATTTTAGAGCTTTGAATGCATGATCTGGATAACTCATTTCAATTTTAAGGGACAATAACATTTTTTGTTTGTTTTCCTCTCCTACTTCAACAGTTTTTTCTACCCACTGCTGCCCATCTTTCACACACAAAATGTGTGACGTGGTAAAAGGAAGCATTTCAACTAGAAACCGAGTTCAACCTTTTCATTAGACATGTGAGAAATCATAGCTCAGAGGTTGTTTTTGTTTTGTTTTGTTTTGTTTTTTGAGACCAAATCTTGCTCTGTTGCCCAGGCTGGGGTGCAGTGGTGCGATCTCGGCTCACTGCAACCTCCACCTCCCGGGTTCAAGCGATTCTCCTGCCTCAGCCCCGCCGAGTAGCTGTGGGACTACAGGTGCTCATCACCATGCCCAGCTAATTTTTGTATTTTTAGTAGAGACGAGGTTTCACCATGCTGGCCAGGGTGGTCTCAATCTCTTGACCTTGTCATCCTCCCGCCTCGGCCTCCCAAAGTCCTGGGATTACAGGAGTGAGCCACTGCGCCTGGCCCAGAGGTTTTAAATGGCAATATATAATGTCACATGACTTCAATTGCTGAATCTAGAAACTCACTCTAATAGAGGAATTTTCAATTTCTCAAAAAATAATTTATAGTAACTGGAATTTAATATTGAATATTTATTGCACTAAATCACTTAGTAGATTCTACAAATGAGATTAAGGACATTTTGAACTTCATTACTTGTTTCCAAATACATTGATGAAATATATTTTGCTTTGCACAGAGAGGTAAAGAGTATTAACATTGCATTTGGTAGCCCCTGAATGCCCATTAACTACTGGAGGTAATAATCGGGCAGCTGCAAACTATTTCCAAAATGCCTGTATAGAATTAATCCTGGCTTGCTCACTGGAGTTAACTTGATCACATGGACTAGCATGTGATAAAGCTAGTCAGGCTGATTTAAGTCTTTCTCTCACTCTGGAACTACGTTGATGCCGAATGGTTTTTATTGGTAATTCAGGCTGATTAGAAGCTCTAATTAATAGCTACTAGTTACTGAATATCTACTGTGTGCCAGTAGATATTTATACTGTGCCAGTAGATATGTATATAAAGTGCTTTATATACATTCTTTTAAAATCATTACAAGAGGGAGGCATTATTATCCATCTTTTAAGCAGATGAGAACACTGTGGCTCAGAGAGGTTAAGTAGGTTAGAGAGGCTAAGTAACTTGCTCAGTGTCACCCACCTAATAAATGTCAAAGCTGGTATTCAACACCAGGTCTGTCTGATTATAAAGCTTGCATGTTTTCTGGTATTCATCCACTCATTAATCCATTCCTTATTTTGTTTCAGAAAAAATTTATGGCAGTTTAATCAGGAGAATATAAAAAAACATGGAGTTACCGGGGGAGAATAATAAATGGTGAAAGAGGGTCTTTGGAAACCTCAGTTTTTGTAGCTCCAGAATATTTTAGAGGAATCTCTATGCTTTTAGTGCTTCCTTGTTAACAGGGATTGCAAACAAGTTCAGTTTGATCTCCGTTCTTGCCAGGTGGATAGGAAAGAATGTTAATTTCCCTTGTTCCTTGTGGCAGTTTCTTTTGTCTCCTAGTGGCATTCAGGCTGATAATCTTTATGGTCTGATTTATTTTTGTATTCTTTACAGTCTTGCTCTTGAGTATACTCAAAACATGGAAATATGCAGACAGCTGATCTGAAATAGGCAGGACCAAGATAAAGGGCCAACTAAATAAAGACAGGGTTCCTTTAAAGTGAGTGACATTATAAAAAGTTGACACACCTTCATGACCATGAGGGCATGACAAGGTGGTTCCTTGATCAAGCATGAACCTAGGAGAACATGAAGGTTTAATCCAGCTTTGTAACTGACTTGCCCTGTTGTCTCTCTTAATATTGTCAACAGTAGACTCTTAACTGTGAAGAACAATGATATATCTAATCTGTTTTGGTGCCTCAGTTTCCTTATCTGTAAACTGGAAATCATATTAGGAGTAGCTCAACTTAAAAGAATGTTGTGTGCTATTCATAAATACGAAACTTAAGAATATACAGTGGTAAAATATAAAGGTTTAAGAATTTCTAGATATAGGGAGGATAAAGTCTGTACTCCTGCATATTCTCTTATTTTAAGCGATATATATATATACATGTGGGCAGAGATTTGGGTAATAAAAGCCTTGAAAAAAAGAAGTCAGTCAAATAGACCTGATTTTTCACCATTAGGTGAAATTCGGCCTTGATTGATGTTGCTCAGGTTAGTTAATTATTGGTTTACCCCCAAAAAGAGTTTTCTCTAGAAAATGGGTCATAAAAAAATGACTGCCTGCAAGGAGAAAATGTAAGATAAGTAAATATATTCTCTGATAGCAAGTGCCACTGAGCTACTCTTTCTCTGTAGCCTTCATTAGGACATCATGCTTGCACACTTTAGTGTACTTTGTGGGGAGGAGAGTAAGAAGCCTGCCAGAATGAAGAGAGAAATACTCTAATTTTTTTTTTTTTTGAGACGGAGTCTCTCTCTTTCACCCAGGCTGGAGTGCAGTGGTGTAATCTCGGCTCACTGCAAGCTCCGCCTCCCGGGTTCAAGCCATTCTCCTGCCTCAGCCTCCTGAGTAGCTGGGATACAGAAGCCTGCCATTGCACCGGGCTAATTTTTTGTATTTTTAGTAGAGACGGGGTTTCACTGTGTTAGCCGGGATGGTCTCGATCTCCTGAAGTCGTGATCCACCCGCCTCGGCCTCCTAAAGTGCTAGGATTACAGGGGTGAGCCACCGCACCTGGCCGAAATACTCTAATTTTTAATAAAGTAATTCTAAAATTTTTCTCCATTAAACATGCAAATTGTTCTTTGTTTACAGTATTTTTTTTTCATAGTTAGCACCTTGGATGGATAAAACTAACTGCAGAGGTAGTTGGAGAGAATGAAAATTAAGATGTGACTCTGTTTACCTTATTTGCACTCATTTTTTGTGAGAAAAAAATGAGTAGGTGGAATAATTTCTTGTTCAAGTTAATAATTACAGGAATTAAACCTCACTGCTGGGACCAGCTGAGTTAGCATGATAGTGTTGCTATTCAGTGAGGCAATAGACCTGCAGCCGGCTGGGGGAGAGCTGATGTGGTCTCTTCCTCCCTGTTTCCTTAATCTCCAAGATTGGGTAGTGGATAGTGACCTCACAGTGACCTCTTCACTGCTGAGATTCTTCTCATCACCTTTTAGCCCTCTTTAGGTGTAATTGTGCCACCTTGTTCCTTGAGGTGGAGGTGATTCAGAGCTGGGGCGACTGGCAGCATCTTAGACATCAGAGGCCCAGTTCACAATAGGTGTTTCTAGGATCCTCCCTCTATTTTTTTTTACTGCCCTGCTAGTGGAGTGAAACTTAAGTCCTTTATTCCACCTCAGTTTACTTTCCTGTTTTCTAAAAAGGAGCTTAATAAAACCCATACTTGCAAAGAATTTTAGACATATGGAGCAGGAATGCTACTGAATTACAAAGTACTATGTTCTATGCCTAGGCTTCAGTTAAAATGCTTTCCTCTGTTCTTCCTCCCAGATTTGAGTTGGCATAGTGCCTGGGATGAAGGCACATCTTCAGGGGAATCTTTGGGTTTTTCAAATTCTCAAGTGGAAGAGTGTGGACAGATGGAGGCCAGTGTTTTCTTCTAATGAACTCTTCTGGGATGGACTGATGCTTTTCTGTGGATTTTTCTCCTGCAAAAAGTTGCCTGCAACTCTCATTTTACTTTAAGACTTTCATATTCTTGGTAGAATTGTGTCTGCCTACTTCCCAGCCAAAGGGGTGGGAATCTGCCTGTGATACATACCCTCCTTGTCTCCACTCATCTTATTTTTGAGAAATGAGCAAAGCAAACAAAATCTCTCGTGGCTTTAGTATCTGTGTTGCTTTGTTATTCCTCAGCATTATATTCATAGGAGGTGATGCTTGTCCTTTGGACTAGGTTTTTTTTTTATTTTAATTTTTTTATTGGAAGAAAAGAGCATATTTTCTTGGTGACACAATAGAGAGGTAAAGGTATAGTAGGGAGAATGGAGAACCAGTGAAAAGGGGATCGAAGCTTTTGTTTAAGTGAAGTTTTGAGTACCTGCAACAGTGTGGATTTGAGATGCTTCTGTATTGAACTTGAATGAGGAGGTTCATGATTGGGATGGGATATATAACCAGTTACAGAACTCTTGTCACCACTTGGTACTGTGGCAATGATTGGGGTCTGTAATTAGGAAAGCAATCAAGACTGTAAAATTAGACCTTCCACTTTAGGAAAGAAGGGACCTGCTTTTATTTACCCATGAGCTCAGCTTGCAGATGAACATTTTGCTGTGGTTTTTAGAGAAGACCACCTTGGGAGAAAGGCATGTAAATCTCATTTCACTGCTAGTTAAACAAATCAGTGAAAGTTGCAGGGGCAAACCCTCTCCAGAGTGAAGCCCTGCAGTAATTACCAACTGTCTCCTGAAAGGAGATGGTGACACACACGGCGAGTATGAGTCCTGGCTTGCTCTTTGGAGTCAAAGAACATTCATTTGAAAAACTGGTTCTGTTGTTATTGTGTCAGAAAGAGGGATTTCTAACAGAGGGATTTGACAGACTAGACAAAAGCCCTGGTTAAGTAATCAAATGTTCATGCAGGTGTTCTAGTTTTCCCTGCAGCACTTGTACATACCAGATGAGCTGTGCTTGGGCCTAATGTACATTCTCCTTGGGTTGAGATTTCTGCATATTAACATTTTTTCATGGATGACACATTTTTATGTAGATATTTTACTACATAGAATATTAGAATTTCTTTAATTCAGAAAATGAGCAACTGCTTTTCTATTTCAGCAAACAGATCATGAACATTCATTATGATATGCTGTTCTCATTGGGGCTTATTTGTGGGTTTTCTGAGTTTGTCATTGGCAACTGCACTGTTTGGCTTCACTGTTGGGCTGTGGAGCAAGGAATTATCCCTTTAATCTCTCTGCTGTTCTCCTTTTTAGCAATATGCTACCTGTATTGTTCCTGGGCACCATGTGTCTTGCTGTAATCCAAGGTGCAGTTTTAATCAGCATTCATTTTGTTGTAAAGGGAAATAAAACCCATTCAAACTAGCTCAAGTAACAAAAAGGCTTGCCAAGAGAAAATAATGGCTTCTCTTAGAAATAAAATATAGGAAATATAGCCCAGCTCAAAGGAACCACACAATTGTCATTCATTTACTTTCATTTTTTGTCCCTATGAGAGTCTCGTCTCTACTCTCTGCACAGGATAGGCACATAGTCTGCTCTTCTTTTTTTCTGCAGAATTTCTTTCTGTGTGTGCTTATCAAGCATGCACGTGACTATTCCATCTTTCAGGTAAGTACCTCCTGCCATATATTTATTATTAATTTTAGACCTAATAGAAAAAGGAGAGACAGAAGGAGGGGTGGGAAGAGAGAGAGAGAGAGAGAGAGAGAGAGAGAGAGAATGAGTATCTGATGGGTTGCTGGCCAGACAATTGTCATCATTAATTTATTGGTTAGGTTAGGATAGTAACAAATAAACTCACCGATCTAAGAGTAAGTTTTATTTTTTGCTCACATTGCATGTTAATTGTGGGTTTTCAGGGAAGCTTTGCACATTGTAGTCACTCAGGAACCAAGGCTGAGAGAGTGGCCACTGTTTTGAACATTACTGGTCACTATGCCAGGTGGAAAAGAGAGCTTTGGATGGTCTTGCTTTGCAATTAAATGCCTGGCCCAGATGACACACACTACTTCCTGCTCACAGCACATGGGACAAAAGTAATTTCATGCTTCCCTTCCCCCAGCCATATGTTTAGAAGGCTCCTGATGGAATATTTGGTGAATAGCACTAATTGCTACTACACCTTAGGACAAGGATCTTATAATCATCTAATTACCTCTTGGCATTAATGTGGCCATTATGTATTTAGCACTTTCTCTTCCTTACTGATGTTTTTTATCTGTGAAAATAAGTTTGATAGAAACAGTATTATGCAAGGTTATAGCTGACTATAAGCTACTTTAAAGATAATGATAATAAAGACAATTATTTTGTACCTACTATATGCCAGGCTATTCACATAGATTATCTCTATTTGTTGTAAGAATCCTTTGAAGTTGGCAATATTAGCATAATATTGGTTATATTGACTCCAAACTCCATGTTCTTTGTGTTACTCACATTGAGGCTAAAGGGTAGTTTTGGAAAGTAAAATTTCTTCAAACTTGCAATGGAAACATCTCCCATTACTTTATTATTTTATTTATTTATTTTTGAGACAGAGTCTCACTCTGTTGCCCAGGCTGGAGTTTAGTGGCACGATCTCTCCTTACTGCAACCTCCGCCTCCCAGGTTCAAGCGATTCACCTGCCTCAGCCTCACAAGTAGCTGGGATTACAGGTGTGCACAACCACACCCTGCTAATAGAGACGGGGTTTTGCCAGGTTGGCCAGGCCCTCGAACTCCTGACCTCAGGCGATCCACCCGCCTTGGCCTCCCAAAGTGGTGGAATTACAGGCGTGAGCCATCACGCCCGGCTTCATTACTTTAATAAGTATCTTGCCTTACAAATTTCTCAGAATATAATGGAGAAAAGTGTAAATTTTATCGCTGATCCTTTAATTTTTTATTAAAATTTAATGTCTATCATAGTAATATACATACACACATATAACATATTGTATATGTGTCTATAGATTAAGATTTGAAATAATACTCTCAAGTTTATAACAGCAAGAATTTCCAACCAATCTCTACCCAACCCTTCTGCAATTCTCATTCTTCAAAAGTATCTACTTCAAAGTCTTTCAATTGATTGTTCTATTATTTACCTCTATATTATAGAATAAAATTATTAAACTGTTATTCCTTACTTTGACAATTTTAGATTAATTACTGTGGAAGATGGAGATTTAGCTCTCTCAACCTGCAGTATACTTTGCTGCCCGCCCAGCTCACCACACCTCAGTCTGCGGATACAGCTGTATCACACGTTTTAGTTAAAGTATTAGTCAGTGTTACAAATAAGCAAATATTTTTCACAGTTGAGCCAGGTTGTTTACTTTAATCATATTATTTTTTACAGTTAATAATTGCTTCTCTTTCTTTTCTCTCTCTCTCTCTTTCTTTCCTTCTTTCTTTCTTTATTTTATTTTATTTTTTTTTGGAACAAGGTCTTGCTCTGTTGCCCAGGCTGAAATGCAGTGGCACGATCATAACTCACTGCAGCTTCAAACTCCAGGGCTCAAGCGATCTTCCCTCAGCTTCCTGAGTAGCTGGGACTACAAGCACGAGATAACCACACCTGGCCCTTCTCTCTCTCTCAAATACTTTTTAGATACTTTCACGAATCTATTTTCCAATTTTCTGGGAATTACAAGAGTCCTTTCAATTTAGTCAAATATATCTTTCCTCTCTTCTTTGTCTCCTCCCTCCCTCCTTCCTTCCTTCCCTCCCTCCCTCCCTCCCTCCCTCCCTCCTCCTTCCTTCCTTCCCTCCCTCCCTCCCTCCCTCCCTCCTTCCTTCCTTCCTTCCCTCCCTCCCTCCCTCCCTCCCTCCTTCCTTCCTTCCTTCCCTCCTTCCCTCCTTCCTTCCCTCCTTCCCTCCTCCCCTCCCCTCCCTCCCTCCTTCCCTCCTTCCCTCCTCTCCCCTCCCCTCCCCTCCCCTCCCTTTCCTTCCTTCCTTCCTTCCTTCCTTCCTTCCTTCCTTCCTTCCTTCCTTCCTTCCTTCCCTCCTTCAAAAAACAGATATGAGGTCAAGAAAATAGGAGACTCAACATGGAAGAGAGCCTGCCTGCCTGCCTGCCTGCCTTCCTTCCTTCCTTCCTTCCTTCAAAAAACAGATATGAGGTCAAGAAAATAGGAGACTCAACATGGAAGAGAGTCTTCCTTCCTTCCTTCCTTTTCCTTGTTTTCTTTCTTTTTTCCTGTCCTCTCACCATCCTTTCCTCCTTCCTCTGTTTCTTTCTTCTTGGACACATCCTTTATGGAGGCTTCTGTCCTCCTGCTTCACTCTTGACTAATTGTTTTCTAGATCCTAATTTTTATTGACACTCTAGAGAAGTTTTTGTCTCTTCTATGTTGAGTCTCCTATTTTCTTGACCTCATATCTGTTTTTTGATTTTTTGCTCCCATTTTTTTGGTTCACATGCGCTGGTGGCTTTCTGAAAAAGGTGATAGGAATTACATTTGTTTTGATATTTTACACAATATTATTTTACCCTCTAAAATGATCGTGAATTTGGCTAGGTTTAGAATTCTAGGTAGAAAAATCTTTTCCTTAGAATTGTGAAGATATTTCTCCATTGCTCAGTTTTGCTGCTGAGAAGGTAACATTTTGATTTCCAAGTATTTTTTATGTAGCTTGCTTTCTATCTCTGGAAACTTTCATTCTATCACATTTTATTTTTGTGATCATGTTCTCGTTTCTAACAGATCCCTTCTGGTGTTAGACTGTTCCTTCTGTTGGAGCATCCTTTTTTTGTTTGTTTGTTTCACAGACTCAATATCTTCTGAAACAACTTTTTTATTCTTTTTTTGAGGCAGAGTCTCGGTCTGTTGCCCAGGCTGGAGTGCAGTGGCATGATCTCAGCTCACTGCAAACTCCACCTCCCAGGTTCAAGCGATTCTTCTGCCTCAGCCTCCCGAGTAGCTGGGACTACAGGTGTATGCCACCACACCCAGCTAATTTTTGTGTTTTCAGTAGAGATGAGTTTTCACCGTATTGGCCATGCTGGTCTCGAACTCCTGACCTCATGATCCACCCTCCGTGGCCTCCCAAAGTGCTGGGATTACAGGCGTGAGCCACTGCACCCGGCCTCGATATCTTCTTATATCTCTTTGAGGAATTCATTATAGTTTAAAATGCATATATTTATGATTTTTAATAGGCAATATATCCAAATGGCCAACCCTTCAAACAGTAAGAAGGTTACTCAATGGAAAGTGTATCTTCCTTCCTCCTTGACACTTGCCATTCAATTTCCCTCTTCAAGGTGTCTTCCCTTTTAGGCCAGTGAGTTCCTTTTTTTTTTTTTTTCCCTGAGACAAAGTCTTACTTTGTCACTCAGGCTGGAGTGCAGTGGAATGATCTTGGCTCACTGTAGCCTCAATCTCCCCAGGCTCAGCTGATTCTTCCACCTCAGCCTGCCAAGTAGCTGGGATTACAGACACGTGCCACCATGCCTGGCTAATTTTTGTATTTCTTGTAGAGATGGGGTTTCACTATGTTGTCCAGGCTGGTGTTGAATTCTTGGGCTTGAGTGCTCCATCTGCCTCCCAAAGTGTGGGATTACAGGCATCAGCCACCATGAGTGTCCCACTAGCTTGCTTTTATAAGAATCCAAGACACTTGCTAGGACAGCGCAGCTGCCAGTGTTCTGGTTTCCAGGTGGGCAAAGAGGTGAAGGGTTCCCAGTGTTAGGTGGGTCAACTGTCACATAATCCCCTCTTTTCATTGTGGTGCCTCATTGTCATTCTTAGCTGTGCAATCTTAAAAGCCTCTCTACTCGAGGGAGGGCTGTTACTCAGTCTTCTTTGGGATGGAAGAGGAGAAGCCCCATGACTAGGATAAGAGTTAGGAGGGAAATCTGGGGCTCTGATTGTTGTCTATCATGATTTTCAATACATCTGCCTGTTTTCTGGCCCACCCTTCAACTTATACTTTAGAAGGACCTGGTTCCTCTAATTTGGAGTCTGTCTGAGGTTTTGCAGCCTTCTGCATAGTCAATGCCAGGTGTCTGATCTCAAGCTACTTTTAGGTATTTAGTGGTTTGGTATAATCCAAAAGAAAACTGTTTTCGATCTCTCATCCAAATCAAAGCTTCTCTCTTTCCCTGCCTAGTGACTAAGTGGCCAGCAGTGGGCTAGGGGGATCTGGTGAATTATTGTTCTATTTTTCTTGCTTCTGCCTTTCCTTTCCATACGTCAGGTTGCTTCAGGATGGAAGAAGGAGAGGTGAGTGGAGGATGAGAGAAAAAGCGCCTTTAAATTAACAAAGACTGCTAGTTCTCTCTTGGCTCTCCAATACCCATAGAGCCTTGTTATGCTGGTATCTCATGGCCCTGGAAAGCAGTCATTTTGGGCAATGTTTTCTTAGTTGCTTCATGCCCATATATCTTCCTTAGTGTCAACCTAATCCTTGGGACTGTGGCATGATCTCACTAAACTACTCTTTCTTCACTCAGGTGTCATGGTTTTTCTGGCCAGTTATCTGTTCTCATCTCTTCAAAAGAGGTCAGACATCAGAATCTATGTCCTAAAACTCCAGAGGAAAAAAGCCAAGAACCTTCTCTCACTCTGTGCCCGTGGTAATATAGGGTTGACTGTGAGCTTTTGTTCTCAGCAAGGATATTGTCTGGCAGTCTGTCTTTCTGGAGAGCATCTTTTCTATCTTTTTCAGTAGTTCTCTTTGGAAGACTTATTTGGCTTGAGGAGAGAGGAAATGAGACAGTACTATTTATACATAAATGCATTACAGAATCCTCACCAGGAGAGCTCCCTATGGTTCTCTTCTTTAGACCACCAGGGATAAATATTGTTAAATGATAAACAGTCTAGTGACCTACTAACAAGTCTTACTTGGGTGTGTCTGTAAATTTTTTTCTTTATATATTTCTTTCAATCCAAGATACATTCTTTGCCCTTTTCTATCCTGTGTTTTACTCCGGGACACTGATCCCTACAGATTTCATTACCTGGATTCCCCCATAGCTGATTGCTATCCTCCAGTTGGATTTGGTCAATAGGAGATCAATGGGAGAATAAGAGGATGGGAGGAAAAAGGGGTCAGAGTGTTTACTTCCTTTTCCTCCTATTCCATCTTCTATGGCTACAGCTCCCATCACTGGTCCCTGCTTCTCAACCTCAGGTCTCTCTGGGTTCCTGGAACAATATTTTCTCCCTTTCTTCCTTCAGTGCCAGTGGTGCTAATTTTTGCTTCCCACTATTGAAGTCTCTGGGTGTCTCACCATTCTTTGTTTGTTTCCTTCATCATGCCCAAAACTAATGTAAGTTCTCACTTCATTGGAGTTTCTTCATTTGGTTGATTTGGAGTGAATCTTTTTCCTACCAGAATCCTGAAGCATACTGTAGGGGTGTTAGTATCATGGAAAATAGAACCATAGCTTCTGAATTTGAAATAAGGGTTTGTCACTTATTGAGAATGAACTGCATTGCAGGAAGGAAGGATGCGAATACTCAACAGTCAGATGCTAGGAGCAGTCACATCCTAGTTCCTTAATGCATCAAAACCAAAGCTTTCTTTATACATACATAAAGCCTAAGAGCCACTTTAAGCATTGCCTTGGTGAGGAGAAGGCAGAATGTGTAAATACAAATTAAGGTGTTCCTAACTTTGAAAGGGAAATGGTGACAATGTTTATCTGTATGTATCTTTTCTGGAGCCTAATTTTTTCTCTAATGACTTACCGTATTATGAAAGAACTGGTATCTTCATAGTTCTCACTCACTTTCCTCAGCTTTGAAGAATGGAAAAACCCCATTCATTTCCTGTTCCACAAGCAAAGCTCTTGTTCCATGCAGGTTCATGAAATTAATCTTTTGGTTTAAATTCTGTCTGCTCTTAGGAATGTCCCCACTACTTTGGATATTTGCATAAGAAAAAGGAAAAGAAAAAAGAAATCTAGTATATCATTCTTGGGGTGGAGAAAGTGGGAAAAAGAAACAAGACCAGCCGCCTGTTAAATGGGTCTATAATGTTCCTGGTGAATCTTGAGAAAAATGCAGTGTGAGAGGGAGCTGATCTAGCCTATTGTCCCCAAAGGACAGAACACGAGTAATTTCAACAGGTTTACAGAAGCTTTTGCCAAGAGGAAAAATCATTAGGTGTTTTGGGGTAAAATTTTAGAGGTTACATACAAATCATCTTGTCTCTTTGATAGATGTTATGAGCATGAGCACTTGGAGAAATTGATTTATTTTCAAAAGATTGAATTAATCGTAAAATTGTGATACAGTCTGGCATGCTTAGTTTATCTCAGTTAAAAAGGAAATAAATGTACATACTTACATTTAATAATAGTCTTCCTCAGGTTTAAAACTAAGTAAATAGGTATAAATGGTAAATAACTATCCTTTATGAATGAATTTGGTAGGGGGAGGTAGGTGGGTGTAAAAAATTATCTGTTTATGTGTCAGCCCATTGAAGGGAAAGGCTGTGTTTCATTTTTCTTTCATCTGCCTGTGTACCTAACATAAGAGGTACTCACAAATGTTTAGTAGCTGAATTTTTTAAATGAAGTTCTGATGGTTATTTTCTCTCACTCTCCCCATAAAAGTAACTTCTACTCAAGAAGCTACTAAAATAGCTGGGCTCAGAAAAGAAAGATAACTTTTGTAAAAAATTTGCTTGAGGGCATGTAATTTAAACTGCTTTCTTCAGCGATGACTTCAAAGATCACATAACTATGTCAAGCTTATTTATTTATTGTCAAGTTACTTTAGTTAGGGGACTCTTGGTAAGTAATCAGTAAATTTAATAGTTCAGTAGTTATGGGATGCTTCTGATTAGTAGATATTTTATGATTTAGTCTAGCACATAGGTTTTATAAAATTTCTTAACATCTATTTGCTAACTATCTTTCATTTATTCAAAATTGCATTTATTAGGGACTTAGTATGTGCCAGGAATGCTTTGGCTATATGTTTGTATTAGAAATGAAAGCCCAGAAGATAGATTTAGGTTTTCATAGAGCTTAAGCTCACTTGTGTGTGTATGTCTGTGTATAATATGAGGAGCATACAGGTCTATAAAATAAACGCGGAATTACAGTGTAATGTGATGAGAATAGCATAGGTGAAGAGCGGGTGCTACGGGTCAACTCCATCCTTCGGGATCAGTGAAGGTTGGGTTCTAGTAAGAAGCCATGTTTTAGCTGAGAGTGGGAGATGAGTGGGACATGGCCAGGCAGGAGGTGGTGGTAGGTGGTGGCAGGGACTTTCCAGGCAGAGGAAATTATACACAGAAAGTCAGGGACCTCAGTGTGTCTGAATATAGCAACTATACAAGAAATGATGTTTCCTTAGTAAAATTCCCACTCTCATTGATAAGAATATTGGCAATAATATCGACGATGACATTAACAATACCAATGATGACATTCAGAACTTGTGGAAGCATTTACTGAATATTTATCATGTGTCAGGTGCTGTTCTAAGAGCTCAATATGTATTATTTAATTCTCACAATAGCCACGAGGCAGAGATTGCTATCTTTATCTTAAAGACAGGGAGATTCTGTGTCAGAAATGTTATGAAAAAGGCCAGACATGATGATAAATGGTGGGTCCTGGACCCAGGCAGGTCTATCTCACTCCAAAGCTCATTCTCTTAATCACTATGCTTATGGTCTGCTGGATCTGAAAATTAATAAAGCAATTTAAGCCCATAATTCACTCTCAGGTAACAGTTTATGCTTAAAGAATCTTAATTTTAAAAATCAGAAAGTATAGACTATTTTCAAATGTGCTTTTCTTTCAGTCCGACAGTTCTATCGCATTGTAGTAAATATAGAGTCAATTTAAAATATTAAATGTAAACATGTTAACAAACAATACAAAGCATGTATGGACACAACACATAGTTTTGAAGTCTGCGTTTTCCTTTCTTTGAAGAGGAAAAATTAACAAGGCTATATAAATCAAGTATGAATTATTATTGCCATATCTTACAGCTAAATAAAAACTAGTACACTGTCTTGGGTTTCTTAGGGAAGCCTCTATGAATTGCAGTTATTTGAAATGAGCCTGATACTAAAAGGCCATGCATGGTGTTATTTTCAACATTATAGGCAAACCTTGGCTTCTGTGTGTTTGACATGTCAAATCCCCTTTAAGTTCCTCATGTGATCCGGCTTGGTCTGTTTACCAAATCTAAATCTCTGGAAAATTTGTTCCTGCAGAGATCTAGAAAAGATGATTGATTTTTATGCCGCACATTTGTCATTCTCCTCCACCTTCCCTTCCCTGGGTCTTGCCAAAGTTTTCATCATCAGGTCTGACGCCGCCGGGAGTATCCTTTCTTGTCTTGTTCTCTGTTCACTTTCTTTCTGTCCTTTCTATTAACTCCTTTATCTACATCCATAATTCTAGTTTATCATCTGTCCTTTTATTTACATATCTCTGGCATCTGTCTTTCTATTTCCCTCTCCTCTACCTCACTTTCCTCTTGTCTGTCCTTCATTTCTATCTTTCACTTTGCTCTTCACTTTTGGAAAGTTATGATAAATACAGATTTGCAGCCCGGTATTATCTAATTCATTGCCTCTTTTCCTTGCATAATCTGGTGAAGGCAGACAGATTCACAACTCCTTCCAATCCTATTTTTGCCCCCTCCTCAGCTATATTGCTTCTTGCATGGTTTTATTGCTGTGGAGGAGGTTGAAAGTTTGCCAAGTGACCCAGAAGACCTGACCGGCAGTCTTTTGTTTCTTAGCACTTGAGAGACAGTATTTAAATTTTATGGGGTGTGAGGTCTTATTTTGGACACTGTACTTCTCCTCTGGCTTAGAAAACCTCTTTGGGAAAGTGGACATTGAGATCTTCAAGCTATGCAGTGCTAAATGTTTCCTCCATAACTTTATGTTCACATATCTTAAATGAATAAGCATTCTTATGTTAAAACAGTAAAATTTTCCTTAATAAAATAATCAATGCCCATTTCAAATAGTAAATTATAAATACTATGTAGACAAGTTTGTATTTTTTTAACCTATTAGTATGATGGCTAAGTTATTTCTTCAGAGTCTACCATAGTCTAACATAGTTTTTAGTCATATATTTTTTAAAATTGCATAATATTTCTTGGAGTACCTAGAATGTAATTTATTCAGCCATTTATCAATTGTTGGCTACTTCTCCACTTTTTAATGTGTGAGCTTTCATGCTTCTAAGTGCTCAACTTGACAAACTTTATTTCATTCTTCAATGACCTTCCACGTGATCCTCTTAGTCACTGTCTCAGGGTGACTCAGGGAGTACAAGGAATAAACACTGAAAACAATCTCAAGCTTGTGATGAGCTTCCTTCCCCCAATCTGTTACAACATGGCACTCAGGAACAAACTTTGAGAAAGCCTGGGATTAATCATGAAGACAAATAGGGAAGGAAGGCTGTTAAGAACACTTCTACAAATGAAAATACAGACCGACGGGCACAAATCCCAGAGAAAAGTTATTGACGTTTCCTCTCAACATGAATATGGAATGTTACATTGGTACCAAGAGAGTGAGTGTTTTGTATGGATGTTTGTTGGAAGGATAGAGTGGTATAAAATCACTAGAGGCAGTCTGATTTTAGGTATATGTGAGTTAGGTCTGTAAGTAACAGAAAACAAAATTAAACTAGCTTAAATAAACAAATAAATATTATTAACTCCCATGCTCGAACATTCAGAGGGGACAGGCTTCAGTCTGATTTAATCCAGTGGCTTTGGCTGGTTCTCTTCAGTTTGCTCAGCTGTAGCCTCCTCTGTGTATTGGCTTCATCTTCAGGCTGGCTTCTTTTGGAAGCAAAAGGACTAGTTACTTTAAGCCTCACAGTTTCATTTCATGATTTTCAGAGGAAGTGAAAACTTTTTTCTGGTTGTTTTTAATTAAGAGTGAGAAAAATTATTTCCCAGGAGTTTCACGTAAACCTTTCTTTGTATTTCACTGGTGTAAATTAGATTACATGTCCATTCCTGCACCAGTCCTTGAGGCCAGGGCAAGGCCATGTGCTGATCGGCTTATGTCTGTTTTCCTGACCCAATCACCGTGGCAGATGTGTTGAGATTACCTCTAAACAAATTTCCCAGGAGATAGGGATGTGGTTAGTGCACCTTTATGAATATGGGCTGCATGAGGGAAGAGGTGGATGCATGGAGGAAAACTGGACCATTATTAGGAAAGGGAAAATAAATGCTATGCAAATTTAATCCATAATATCTGCCAGTTCTCAGCTTCGTCTAGTTTAGGGCTTGCAAACTGTTATAACTTAGAAAATATTCACATAAATGAAATAGATAATAAATTTAATATAAAATATAACTATGATTAAATATGGTGTTATTTAATTTTGTAAAGGAGACAGTTAAGGGGGATTTTATAGTATATGGTTCTGAAAATGTTTCCTGGGTTTCCAAATCCAACTTCTTTTACTTCCTAGCTCTGTGATTTGAGCAAGTTACTTCATCTCCCTGTGGTTTAGTTTCCTTATCTGTAAAATGGAATTATAAAAGTATCTACTGCATAAGGTTGTCATGAGGACTAAGTGAGTTAATACATACAAAGCTTTTAAAAATAGAGTCTAGTTCATAATAGCACTTGATAAATATTTACTTTTAATACTTTTTAATTTTCTTCTTCTTATTTTTTTAGAAGTGAGGTCTCACTATATTGCCCAGGCTGGTCTTGAACTTCTGGGCTCAAGCAGTTCTTCCACTGCAGCCTCTCAAAGTGCTGGGATTATAGGCGTGAGCCACCATGCCCAGCTACTTTTGAAATTTTCATTATACTCTCTGATCAAAATTCCCTCAATGTCCATTTTATTAGTTACTTCTAACGTTTTCACAGAAAATTATTTGAAAGCAGTAATAGTTTAATTTCCTCCATAATTTGATATAAATTTTTTTTTCAAAATATCCAGGAAATATATATTGAAAAGTGACAGATTTTACCTTGCTGTGTGTGTGTGTGTGTGTGTATGTGAGAGAGAGAAAGAGGGGGAGAGAGGTGGTATATGTTGATGAGGGTCATTAAAACCTTTTAAACTTTGTTCATTTTTATGTGCTTTTGAAATCATAAAACAATATATATTGATGGCTATCATTCAGGCCACAGAGGTAGGTGAACCTTCATCCAAAGTCTGATTCTGATGTCAAGACTGATGTAGCTACACATGCACTAAAAAGATATGACAAGGTTTATTACTCACATAATGAGGCTTTCTGCAGAGAGCAGGGTAGCCTCCCAAACAGGTCCAGAGACGACTTGAGAGAGTAGAGAAAGCAGACTTGTTCAGCTTTTATTGTAGTTGGGGGATGGGTGTAGGGTGAGGGTTCATGCCCACAGACCTAGCATTTTATAGTTCACACTCCCTACTGGCAACAAAGGAGGGACCATGCAAGTTTTCTTATGAGCTTGCCCAAGTAAAGGGAAAGGGTGGTGGGGGCACTTGAAAGCCGACAGCAGTCCAACATCACAATGGAATCAGACAGCTGTAGAAAATATGGGAGATATAGAAATCAAAATGCAGAAATTATAATCTTTGGTAACCATCCAATACAGATACATTTATGTATGTATATTTTATACTTGTGTTATCATCTACTTGCATTATTCCTGGTAATTTTAAAGTCCTAGATGTAATAAATTTATTCACTCTTTATTATGAACTACTCTTTATGATGAACCATCCTAAGTCTCACATTGTGTGTGCTGAACCAAAAAAGAAAAAAATTATTTCTGTTTTGAATCTTCTGGATAAAATCAAATTGCCTTATAGGTGTTCCTCTTTTAAATTTCAAGCTATGTAAGATTATCCGTAGTAATGTTTAACAGATAGCACTAGTTTCAATGTATTAACCAAAAGAAAATAGAACCACTGTCCATGTCACGTTAGTCTGGAGCCAGAGAATCAACATCAGTCAGCCAGACAAAACCCCATACTACAATGATCTGAAGGGTTTGTATTATTCTTTGCCTTATTGATTGCCCATTTTAATACAGAGTTATTAATTTTCTTTCATGTTTCAATCTTTTTTTTGTTTTGTATATCACCTTTTCTTTTTCTGGCTAGGCTGAATCTGGGTCAAATTGACTCTAGAGGACTCTAAATATAATCCGGCTTTAAGAAATGGCTTTTTTCCTTTTCGTGGAAAAGATTACTCAAAGAGTAGATATTTGAAACTTCCTTTGTCCAGAAAATGAAAATTATTTTTTAAAAAGCATGATTTTTCTGATGGCAAAAATACAAGGTATGTGAATTAAATACTTATTTTACTTACATTTTAGGGGCAAAATACATTAATTGGGCCAGAAAAATTTTTAACCCTATTCTAACTGTATTATAAAGATTTAAAAAGTGAAAATATAAACTTCACATGCATATATTCTAGTATCAACACTAACAGGCTTGCAGCAGGTCGGATGAAGCTTATAGATATGCTATACAATGAAAATGCTGCCATAAAATTACAGTCATTTATGTATGCATTCACTCACAATGTGGCTGTTGATTGTCTAGAACACAATGATCATAATGATGACTAATAAAGGTCCTGATGCAAGAAGATTTCACTCGAGTGCGGAAACAGACAATTAAGAATTGAATGCAATGTAGTGTGGTAAATATAAGGACAGAACAAACCAGAACAGAACTATTAGGTTTCCTGAAGGAATCATCATTCAGTAGTATTTTTCCTTTAGGGATGTCATCTTGGCTCTTCTTAACCTCTCTGAGCCTCAGTTTTCTAATTTTTTTTAAATATCAGTTTGCTTATACATGATTCATAGATTTTTTTGGTAACGATTAAATTTTAAAAATATGTGGAGCACCTTGCACAATGCTATGCATAGTAAGCACTTGGTGAATAGTAGATATTCTTATTAGTAGTACTCAAAGTCATGATCATTTTACAGCCATACATCTTTTTTAAAAAAATTTATTTTAGGTTTGGGGGTACACGTGAAGGTTTGTTACATGGGGAAACATGTGTCATGGGAGTTTTACATATTATTATATCACCCAGGTATTAAGCTCAGTACCCAATAGTTGTCTTTTCTGTTCATCTTCCTCCTCCCACCCTCCTACCTCAAGCATACCACAGTGTCTGTTGTTTCCTTCTTTGTGCTCATAAGTTCTTATCATTCAGCTCCCACTTATAAATGAGAACATGTGATATTTGGTTTTCTGTTCCTGTGTTAGTTTGCTAAGGATGATAGCCTCCAGCTCCATCCGCATTCCTGCAAAAGACATGCTGTCATTCTGTTTTTATGGCTGAATAATATTCCATGGTGTATATGTACCACATTTAAAAAATCTGTTCTGTCACTGATGGGCATTTAGGTTGATTCCATGTCTCTGCTATTGTGAACAGTGTTACCACCATGCATCTTAAAAAGACTTCAGAAATATTGTCTTAAAATTGGTAAGAGTGACATACAATTTAATTATGATTTAATTATGTCACTTTCTTACTCCAAACCTTGAGTGGTTTCTTATTTTTTTATACAATAAAGGCCATATTACTTTTTCTTATTTTGAGGCCCTCAATAATCTGTCCTCTAGCTCCCTTTTTCAATGAGGTCTTCATGGACTTCATCAGCTATTCCTCTTGCATGCCCTGTACTTGTCTGTTTTCATTCCTCTATGCTTATTCTGTAACAATAATAGAGACTAATATTTATTGTGTACTTATATAAAAGGCACTGTGTAAGGCACTTTACATGAATCATTGTCTTTAGTCCCAACAACAAGCCTATGATTTAATCTTTCTAACTGTCATTTACAAATAAGAAACTGGCGTAAGTCATGCAACTAGTAAGACGGTGTTAGAATTCTGACCATCACCTTGCACTGCTAATTCTTAATCTTTGCATTCTTCTGCCTTCACCCAACCAATCTGATGAGATCCTCTCAACCTTCATGGTGTTCTTGAAACTTTATCTATAGAGATCTTCCCTAGTCATCTGAGCTAAAGTTAACATTTTCTCCCCAAGTATACCTAGACCTTAAATTTAAACTTCTCTTACAGAATGTCCACTACATTCTGCTTTCCATTCCTGTTCTTTATGTAAATATCTCCTGAATGCCATTATAGACAACCTAAGAGTGGGTGTAACGACCAAACAATGTGCTTTACACTTCAGAGACACTCGATGGATGCTTATGGACTTAAATTGAATTCGACTGAAACTGTTCTGGACATATTTTGGTATCCATGCTAAAGTGTCTTTGATGAGTGTGGACTTAGCAGACAGAGACTTTGTAGAATCTAAAGGTGATGTGGTACCCTTTATATTAGGGATAACACTTACACTTAATAAGTGAGTTTCTACAATGTAGCTGATGATTCAGTGGTCACAGTGCTCTTAGTAGCACTGTTCTGGTTTCAATCACCACATATGAACAATTCCATTCTCCTTGCTAACTAGACTACACTGCTAGACTGTCAGCTCTGAGAGGCAGAGGCATGCTTGTCTTGACTACCACAAATGCCCAATTCTTAGAACTGTGCCTGGACAGAGTAAATGCTCAACTCATATGGATGTGGTTGACATTCGTTGAATGTTGAGGTACCCTAAAGTTTTTGAGAAGCAAATGGACTATCAGTTAATAAGTCAAATGCTGAATCAAACAAAGATGATTGGATATCTAAAATACGCCATTTAATTGGTAACTTTCTCTTTCAAGCTGGCATAGTAGATTATTTTAATTCACAAGATACATATTCAATTTTGTTTTTGTGCTATTGCCAAATGTAAAAGCAAACCAGAATGGAACGTGTTCATTTATTTGCCTGTTTGTAATAACTCTAATTTTATGACTGTAACTTTCTCCTTGCCCGTCTCCTATCTATTATCTTTTGTGTAGTTTCTAGAGCTGGCCTCTCAGTGTAAATCCTTATCTGAAACCCACACTTCACCACCACCTTCCTTTGGAGTGAGCGTGGCAGCACCATTTCTCGTTGTGGAACTGACAGAATCCTAAGAGATAACCAGCTGCAACAGCCACTTCCCATGATTTATAAAAATAGGCTTTTGACCAGGACTCTGCCAGGAGCCCAAAATTACTGTGTGAGGGCACAAGAGTAATAAGTCATTTTAATGTATTTCCTAATAAAAATGAGGAGTTTCTGTTATAAAGAAAATATCTGTACTGGAAAATCCCTTTCTGAGCTCTAGAAGTACCATGATTTTCTCTCTGACAAAACAATAATGCTGTGATTTAAAATTCCATTCTCCTGATGGAGTGACTACTGTTATCTGCTTGCTGGGGAAGGCTTCACCACCTTGTCTTAAGCATGAGTGGGAGAAGAAACAAGGGAAGGCAGACGGTGAACAAAAAAGAACGAAAGACGCATTTCTGGTCTAAGAATCCCTGTTCCCTTTTTTCTTGTTATCTTGAAGATTTTGTGGATGCTCATAAATAAGCAGAGGTACTAAATATTTCACAAAGTAGATTAATAGAATGAATTCACTGGAAACACCAGGAAATGTGAAACAGGGAAAAGATTTCTCTCCTTGCCGTTTTGATCTGATATGTGCTTCCCTGGCAGGTGGCTACATACTGCCTGGAGCACATTCCCTTTGAAACCATCCTGTGGGAGCTTGTGGGTCTTCATTTATCAGCTGTTAGACATAGTCACAGGAGCCAGAAGAAGTGAAAATAGAACTCCTTCCAAGTCACTGGAAGCCCCTCAGGAGTCCTTGATAACAAATGGGAAACAGCAGTGCTCGAATGTGGATTTCTTTTACAGGCAAACACTCCTGGAGTCATTAAAAGTTAGTTTCCATTTTCAACCTCTGTCATAAAGTGACTTTTTTTTCCCCAGGACAAATATTAACTACCCCTATTGTTATCAGGAGTATCAAGGTTAAGTTACATGTTTGCATTTTGTAGCATTTAGAAAAGTCCTTTCTTTTACTAAATGCTCTGAAACAAAAGGCTACTTCCCATGCCAGAGAACATGTGATCGAAAACTGCCCTTCAAGATTTTGAGACTTAATCATTTAATTAAGAAAACTGACATACCTTATATAAGCTGGGGTTGCTAGACTCAGACCTTATAGATTTTCTGATAATATTTTTAATCTTCTTATTTGTTTAGCTCATTTCTGATTTCCTTTTTTTCCATCTGTGCTCACAGAGTACCAACATATCTAGGCAACTTATGGAGTTGCCTAGATTAAGATGACTCCATGAAAATGATCCTGAACATTAACTTATGTACTATTGCTGTTTCAACATAAACCTTAAAGATCTTCATTTGCTTTTTTTTTTCTCTTTTACATTTTTGGTGTTGTGTTGACTTTTGCAGAGAAATGTCCCACTATGCTTGACTTACAGATTCCCCCACCCCCACTCCATCTCTTGCCACCTCCTTCACCCCATGGAGTCTGCTTCCTCTATCATCTTTCTGTGGTGCTGAATGTATATGGCCTCTAAACACTCTGGAATGAAAGGTGATATGAAATTGTAAAGTGTTTTTATCACAGAGTTCTGCCCATATGTCTCAATCCTGACGTGTAACACCTCTTCTATTTCAGTGTTGTGACGGGAGCACAGCTGGTCCTGAAAAGGCACAACACTCAGACAAGCATGTGAGATTGCATTCGTCCCTGCTGGGGAGCCCCGAGCTTTAGAGCATCTGCCCCATTAGACGATCAGGGCAATGCGTGGAAGAAGGCTAGTGCCTTGCTGCCTGGGTGTGGTCTGTGACATCATCTGGGATCTTGTAAGAAATATAGAACCTCAGGCCCTGCCAAAGGCTTTTTGAATCAAACTCTGCATTTTAGCAAGCTCTTCTGGTGAGTTGTGCACACATCAGGAGTATAGTCGGCATCTGCTATTTTTGTCGGCCCTGCATTTCTTACTCTGGTAACTGCGTCTCCTACTCCTTCTTGAAAGAACTACTCCCTTCTCCCTACATTCCTGTGATTCTGATGGGGTGGCCAATTACAGGGCCTTAACTTTTTGGCCATAGAGGTGGGCACATAATTCAGGTCTGAACATTCAGGCTACAATGATTAGTTCAGGGTAGCGACAGGGGACCCAAGGGGTCAGGGATTCTTCCCTGTGTTTCTTCACACTGGTCTCTTCCCCAGGCATCTCTTCCCTCTGGAGTCATGAACCTGAGAAGAGGTAAATGTGGAATTGTAAACAGCTATTTTCCCAGCCAAGTGGAGAATCCTTGTCCGCTATATGCGAGAGAGTAATGCACCTAAAGAGAAATAGAGATAAGGCATGGAGATCTGGTGCCCTGTTGCTACCTGTGGTTTGATTATATGAGCTCCTAAAATGTCTTTTCTACTTAGCCTATTTTGAGTTAGGTTTCTGACCCTTACAAAGGAAGCAAAGATTTAAATGACACAGATAGATATCAGAAAAGGCAGGTTGCTCTGAGAAGACAAAGCTTTGCAAGTTCAAATACTAACTTATAACACAAGAAAACAATGGCAAATTCTGTCATCTTGCATTTTCCTCACCTCAATTCTCCATCCTTCTTTATACTGTATATAAAACAATTCTCATAAGATTTTTGAAATGTTTAAATAAAAAAATTGAATATAGAACCCTAACATGGTGGCTGATATATAGCAAATGTTCAGTAAATCTTATCTACTATCATTGTTTTTATTATTATTATAACTGCTACCTCACATAGCTCATTTGATAAGGTACACTCTCTCTAATCCAGGAATCTGAATGCTACTTTACCCTTTCGAGTCTCAATAACTGGTTTGAGTTCTGCAATGCAAATTTAACTGGTTTTTTTTTTAGCCCCTGGTGGACCAATTTTCTCATTAAGAAGAATAGCAGAATTATTCAGGCTGGATAGGAGCTCTAGGTGCATGGAAAGATAAGCATAATTCAGTTTCCCTTCCGGAGAAAGCAGAAAGGGCCAGAGTTGGCCATGCAAAGAAATTTCTTTCCCAAGCTGACACTATCTAAACTTCAATGGCAGCCACTATCAAGAGAGGCAATTCCCCTTGGTTGTTCCTCTTCTAGGTCCCCTCTCTTCCTTGGTTGCACTCATTGGCCATGGATATGAACAGCAATTTCCAGCTATAACGTATAGAAACTCCTCTCTTGGTGTCTTTGGCCCTTGGGACCATTCTCAAATATTTTCTCTGTCTTTATAGCTGAAAACCTTAGGGCTTTTTAAAATTTTTTCCTTCTGATCTGCTCACAAAGGAATCCTTCTTACCTGTGGGTTGTCAAGCTTTTCAAAGTAACAGCTCCTTTGAGGAAATTGTCCAAAGCTCTCTATCTTGCCTTAGGCAAATAAATTTATGTGGCACCATATATCCGCTAGTCCCTTCAATTTCTTTCCATGCTTCCTTGAGGCAGGCATAAACACATGGATGCTTTGGGCATAAGTTAGGCGACTTCTTCCCAGAGATGCCTTCTCAGGCTACGGTGGGGTAGGTGTCATCATTGCCTTCAACTGAAGTCTGAGTTCAGGTATTTCAACACTTGGCAATAGCCCCAAGGCCTTTTTGTGTCTCTCCACAGGGCAATGGTGACATCTTGGAAAGTCAAATTAGTAGTTTTCTGGAGAAGAAATTAGGAAGAAAGTGGAATACTTATTTTGTGCTGCACTTCCCTGTGTCAGAATCAAATTTGATTTTAAAATAATGATCTTAAAGAAAGTAGAAAATATGTTCTGAATCAATAAAGACTAATTAAAATTTGCTCAGAATTGTTTTATTATTGTATATATTTAATTATGTAATTGGTAGCCTGTGTCAGGAAATGGCAATTTTGTTTTCCTTTTAATTTTATACACATTTCTTGAATGACTGGTTTGTATGAAGCCAAGTGCTATAGAAGATAAAAAGATGGATAAAACTTGATTCTTGCCTCTAGGTGTTTAAAAGTTTGACATCTAACCATGTCAGATCAGAGAAAGCTGACTTTCATATTTACCTACTGCTATGATGCTGAGGTAACAATATAATAGACATTCATAATGACTTTTTAGATAACACTCCTTGGACTTACTACTTCCTCTTCTATCATTAGCATTCTGAGAACCTGTGACATGTAGGTTTTATTTATATAGTGTTTCTTTCTAACTGTAAGTGCAACTTGGGAATTGTAAAACTGAGGAGAGAGATTTTCTCTATAGGTACTCTGCGTAGTAAGTAATTTGTATGTGGTTTATGAGTGGTATATATTAACTTATTTACCAAAACAGATGGAGACAGAACATGATATAGTGCAGTGTTTCTTACACTTTTTTTTTCATTATTGTCCCCTTCAGTAAGAAAATAAAATTTAATTTAAATTACCCCTAATGAGATAATTAAATATTAAGGAATAAGATTTTTTCAGGCAGAGTTGGGCTTTGAAGATTCACAAACCATGATGTAATCTAAGAATTTTTTGACTTCTGAGAACTAATTTTCACTTACTTGGAAGTGGTATCACCCCTGTTGAAAATGTATGATGTAGTGGAAATAGCAGGTCTTTTAGAGTCTAAGAGACTCGGATTCAAATACTAGCTCCACCATTTATTAGTGGGTGGCTTTGGGTAAAAATTACAAACTTTCCAACCTTCAGTTTTCTTATTTGTGAGGTGAGAATAATAATACCTATCTTATAGGAATGTTGAGAGGGTTGCATAGAGTATCAGGAAAGTGCCTGTCAATTTAATATGTGGTAACAAATATTAGTAATGTTAAGTGGCTTGAATAGCATTCATGATGACGTTAAATAAAAATGGGATGCTGTAAGTATTTAGCTAATGCTCACATAGTGATATGGTAATTAATATTTCTATAGGCCAGTAGTTCTCAAACTTAGTTGCACGTTAAAGTCATCTGTAGGCCTAGCAAAAATTTCTGAGCCCTGGACACACTGGGACCAATTAATTTACAATCTCTGGGGTAGAATATAGGCATTAATATATTTTTGAAATCTCAGGTGATTCCAATGTGAAGACAAGTTTGAGAATCGCTGCTTGAGACATTCAGTTCACAGTCTGAATATAGCCATAGCTAGCTGTTCATCTCAAGGACATGTTAGCTGAGATTTGAAAAGAAAATATCACAAAGTAGTTGAAGGAATAGCAGTTGTTTTAAATTATTCCAGCATGGAATAAGTTGCTGTTAGATAAATAAAAGCAAAGATATATTTTAATAAAATATGACTTTAAAACAGGTAATTCTTCCCTTTGTTGTTACTGATTCAGAATTACCATGAGTGAGCAAGCCCACAGGGGCCACAACCTTTGTGATAATATGGCATTTCTTTTTGTGAAGGGAAAGGCATATTTTCTAACTTGAGGCATACCAGAGCCTAGGTAGCATGTCACAGCTGAGAAGTAGGCTTATGATATGATTTTCTTTTCATTCAGAAACATGTCACATGTCACAAAAGACTGTAGTTTAATTGCAGCTAACTGGCATTGACCAGGTGAAGGGCACTTCTCAATCATAATAAGAGTAGAAATAAATGCTTGATTTTGTATGTCATAGAAGGCATGTGAAACGATTCTTGGTGTTCCGTGATTTGGTTTCCAGAGTTTCAGGCAGAGATGCTTGTCCATGGAGGGATAATTTAATTTCCTCAATGGGTTGATGCTCTGTCAACACAGGAATGTCAGCAGGACAGATTACAGAATGGATGTCTAAAACAAGATATGTAGCAGACAAAAATGTCTCCAAGGACACCCTACATAGCCTTCATTACAGACGACATGCTTGTCCATACAGGGGGAAAACAGCTTTAATCCTAGGCCTATGAAAATAAATGGACAGAATAAGATAAATAACATAATTTCAGAGATATAAGAATATGTAGGAGATGTAAGATATATTTTTGATGAACAGCATATTAGACAAATTATTGTCTGACAGAAAGTAATTCATCATTGAACAAAGGTCTGAGGTCTTAAGTAATTGGTTCATATCAGCACCTCCTTTTGATTTTTGATGCCATTTAGAGATTACTCACAGGTTAGAACTAGAGGGGAGCCCTTTGCAGAAGGGGCTGACTTGCAAACTGGTGGAAGAATTGATCAGCTGGAGGTCCCAACCATGATACTGCAGAAAGGATCAGAGAGAATGGTAGAAATAATTTTCTATGTGGATGTATTACACTATCACTCTCTTTCCAGGGAATGACTCAGTTTTTAAAAGTGATTCAGCCAAAGTTACTGGCATTAATATAGAAGCATGTTTGTAAACCAGATTTTTAAAAAGCCTTAGTAATAATGGTGAGAATTAGTTTGAATAATAAGGAAGTATTTCCAGTACTTGAGAAATTTTGATTTTGGAAAATTAAAAATCTGGTTTTAGTGTATGCACAACAGGCAATTCAAATATATTTCAACTTTCTAACCTTATCAATTCTTGTATATACAAAAGTATAAACATTTTTATAAAAAAGTATAAAAGTTATCAAAAATTTTGAATATAAACTATTCAGTTTTGGTTTAGAGACAAAAACTGACCATAGAAAATATAAATCTCTATTATGCTCTCAACTTATCTTTTCTCTACTGGTTTTGAAATCACATCCTTATTTTAATTTATATGTCTAACATTTACATTGAATTTTATACCTGGGTAACTGATTTCCTTTTCCTAGTTTTCCTTACCAATAATTTTAGCTAATAATGTAGTTTAAAATGAATTGTATTATTGTTACTTCTTCTGATATTTGGATAGCTAAAGGCCATGCCATTTGAAATTGATGGAATATTTGCAATTTCTTTATTCTTATTTCATATTATTTGCAATGAGCAGTTGTTCATTGCCTTTTGTGAATAAAATTTCCTGAAATAGTAGGATGGAGATGGTTGTGCCATTTTATTACACATGAAAGATATTGGAACAGAAAGTAACTTGGGTCTCTAGCCCAGGAATAGATTATTCGCATCATTTAAAAGTGACATGTATCATCTCTGTTCCATTTTAATCTTATTTTGTTAGGCTAAAAGTAACATTTTTCTAAGGTTAAATAGAATCCTTAATATCTTATAATCAAAATAAAGTATTAACAGACTAATTTATCAATGAGCCAGATTTTTAAAAACTTAATTCCTTCTACCAAGGAATTAAAACACACCAAATACATTGACACCTTAATGGAAAAGAATGGCACCAATTCAAGCTATCAATGTATTTATTGAAATAAATGGTGTGAATTTTCAGGAAGAGCTGTTGGTGATGCCAGTTCTCTCTCTTGATCCTTGATAAGAGTATGAGCTTATCAATAAGAAGGGCAATTTAGTACATTTAAATTTTATTAAAAAGATTATAGACCTTGTTCATTCACTGGTTATTCACTTAACACCTATTCATGAAGCGTCTATTATTTGCCAGCCCCAATTTTGAGATATTCAGCAAATGTCTTTCTTAACTCATTTGGAATAAAACAAATATACACAGACACACCTCAACACAGAAACACATTCATACACACATACTCACACAGAGGTATACACACACCTTTCCTTTTGAGGTGTTCAATAACTGGAGAAAAGAAGAGAACATGTTTAGAAGTAGGGTCTTGAGGAGGTAATGTGGGTTGAATGCTCAATCTGTGGAAAGGGGATATAACTCTTTGGGGTATAATTTAATTTGAGACGCCATTCTATTTTCTTGTGTAAATTTTACAGAAAAATCTCTCCAGTAGGAACAAATACTGAGAAGAGAGGAGATAAATTATAGGAAATGCTTTTCTGATAGTCTGGGATACCTAATACTCAGTTACTGAAAACTGTTTCCTTTGCCCCCAAAAAAGGATTTTCTCTGAAGAACAGAAGAAGGTTTTCTAGTGATTCAATAGATGTAGGTCAGCTTAAAGAAGTAATGACAATTGGGAATTGTAGCCCCAAATCGACTGCAAGAGCAAACCAGCAATCTCGAGAGGACCCACAGACCCTCTGAAGGAAGGAGACTGCTCCTTCAGGACTCGGGAGACCCCCTCCCCCCAACCAAAACTCTGAGTGCCCCAACTGCAGAAGTGGGAAAGGGAGACCCTCCTCTCCCAAACACACACCCCCACTGGAGAAGCTGAAGGTCTGTTTGCGGGAGAAGTTTCTGACTTAACCTGGAGCTGAGTCAATTTGGAGAGCCAAGTGAAATACAGGAGTAGAGGAAGAAGCAGAAAGGCCCTGGGAGCTTGCCGGGTCCCCTAGCAGCCCATTCCTGCCTGACACCACAGGGCTCCATCGGGAGAGGAGCAGGGGGTAAAACTACACAGGGAGAAACAAATCTCTAGCTGAACTTTGCAACAATTTGAACGGGGTGAGAAGCCTCCTGGCCAGAACTTGGGAGGGTGCAAATCTGGTGTGCAGACTCCACATGCAGGTGGTAGGGGGGCGAGCCGGGAAGAACTAAGCCCTTTTCTTTCGCAGCTGAGTGGCAGGTAGCCTGGGGCAGGTTTTCAAACCCCTATTGCTCTCCACCTTGAAATGCACTGGGGGCTGTTGGGTTGGGTCACGGTGGAAATGAGACTAGCCCTTCAGTTTACTTTGGAGCTGGGTGAGGCCTGTAACTGCTGGCTTTTCCCCACTTCCCTGACAACCTGCATGACTCAGCAGAGGCAGCCATAATCCTCCTAGGTACATAACTCCAGTGACCTGGGAATCTCACCCCATTCCTCACAACAGCTGCAGCAAGACCCACTCAAGGAGAGTCTGAGCTCAGACACACCTAGCCCCGCCCCCAACTGATGGTCCTTCCCTATCCACCCTGGTAGCAGAAAACAAAGGGTGTTTCTGCCATCCTGGTGGCAGAAAACAAAGAACTTGGGAGTTCTAGGGCCCTGCCCACCACCGGTTCCTCCCCATAATACCACAGCTGATGCTCTCTGGAAAGCGCCACCTCCTAGCAGGAGGCCAACCAGCACAAAAACAGTGCATTAAACCATCAAAGCTAAGAACCCTCAGGGAGTCCATTGCAACCCTCTGCCACCTCCACCAGAACAGGCACTGGTATCCACAGCTGAGAGACCCGTAGATGGTTCACATCCCAGGACTCTGTACAGGCAACCCCCAGTACCAGCCCAGAGCTGGGTAAACTTGCTGGCTGGCCAGACTCAGAAGAGAGACAACAATCACTGCAGTTTGCCACACAGGAAGCCACATTCATAGGAAAAGGTGGAGAGTACTACTTCAAGGGAATACTACGTGGGACAAAAGAATCTGAACAGCCTTCAGCCTTAGACCTTCCCTCTGACAGAGCCTACCCAAATGAGAAGGAACCAGAAAACTAACCCTGGTATTGTAACAAAACAAGGCTCTTCAACACCCCCCAAAAAATCATACAAGTTCACCAGCAATGAATCCAAACCAAGAAGAAATCTCTGATTTACCTGAAAGAATTCAGGAGGTTAGTTATTAAGCTAATCAGGTAGGGACCAGAGAAAGGCAAAGCCCAATGCAAGGAAATCCAAAAAGTGATACAAGAAGTAAAGGGAGAAATATTTAAGGAAATAGATAGCTTAAAGAAAAAACAAAAAATTCAGGAAACTTTGGACACACATTTAGAAATGCAAAATGTTCTGGAAAGTCTCAGCAATAGAATTGAACAAGTAGAAGAAGAAATTCAGAGCTCAAAGACAAAGTCTTTGAATTACCCCAATCCAATAAAGAGAAAAAAGAATAAGAAAATATGAACAAAACCTCCAAGAAGTCTGGCATTATGGTAAATTACCAAACCTAGGAATAATTGGTGTTCCTGAGGAGGAAGAGAATTCTAAAAGCTTGGAAAACACATTTGGGGGAATAAATGAGGAAAACTGCCCTGGCCTTGATGGAGACCTAGACATCCAAATACAAGAAGCACAAAGAACACTTGGGAAATTCATCGCAAAAATATCTTCACCTAGGCAGATTGTCATCAGGTTATCCAAAGTCAAGACAAAGGAAAGAATCCTAAGAGCTGTGAGACAGCACTAGGTAACCTATAAAAGAAAACCTATCTGATTAACAGCAGATTTCTCAGCAGAACTCCTACAGGCTAAAAGGGATTGGGGTCCTATCTTCAGCCTCCTTGAACAAAACAATTGTCAGCCAAGAATTTTGTATCCAGTGAAACTAAGCATCATATATGGAGGAAAGATACAGTCTTTTTCAGACAAACAAAATGCTGAGAGAATTCACCATTACCAAGCCAGCACTACAAGAACTGCTAAAAGGAGTTCTAAATCTTGAAACAAATCCTGGAAACACATGAAAACTTCTTTAAAGTATAAATCACACGGGACCTATGAAACAAAAATACAAGTTAAAAAGTAAAAGCAAAAAACAAAAAAAACAAAGTACCCATGCAACAAAGAGCATGATGAATGCAACGGTACCTCACACTTCAATACTAATATTGAATGTAAATGGCCTAAATGCTCCACTTAAAAGATACAGAACTGCAGAATGGATAAGAACTCACCAACCAACCATCTGTTGCCTTCAGGAGACTCATCTAGCACATAAGGACTCATATAAACTTAAAGTAAAGGGGTGGAAAAAGGCATTTCATGCAAATGGACACCAAAAGCGAGCAGGGGTAGCTATTCTTATATCACACAAAACAAACTTTAAAGCAACAGCAGTTGAAAGAGGGACATTTTATAATGGTAAAAGAGCTTGTCCAACAGGAAAATATCACAATACTAAACATACATTCACCTAACACTGGGGCTCCCAAATTTATAAAACAATTACTAATAGGCCTAAGAAATGACATAGCAACATAATAATAGTGGGAGACTTCAATACTCCACTGACAGCACTAGACAGGTCATCAAGACAGAAAGTCAACAAAGAAACAATGGTTTTAAACTATACCTTGGACCAAATGGACTTAACAGATGTATACAGAACATTTCATCCAACAACTGCAGAATACACATTTTATTCAACAGCACATGGAACTTTCTCCGAGATAGACCACATGATACGCCATAAGATGAGCCCCAATAAATTAAAGAAAATTGAAATTATATCAAGCACTCTCTCAGATCACAGTGGAATAAAACTGGAAATCAACTCCAAAAGGAACCTTCAAAGCCATGGAAATACATGGAAATTAAATAACCTGCTCCTGAATGAGCATTGGGTCAAAAATGAAATCAAGATGGAAATTTAAAAATTCTTTGAACTGAATGACAACAATGACACAACCTATCTAAACCTCTGGGATTCAGCAAAGGTGGTGCTAAGAGGAAATTTCATAGCCCTAAACACCTACATCAAAAAGACTGAAAGAGCACAAACAGATAATCTAAGGTCACACTTCAAGGAACTAGAGAAACAAGAAGAAACCAAACCCAAATCTAGCAGAAGAAAGGAAATTACCAAGATAAGAGCAGAACTACATGAAATTGAAACAACAACAAAAAAAAATACAAAAGATAAATGAAACAAAAAAAAAGCTGGTTCTTTGGAAAGATAAATAAAGTTGATAGACCATTGGCAAGATTAACCAAGAAAAGAAGAGAGAAAATCCAAATAACCTCACTAAGAAATGAAACAGAAGAATTACAATTGACACCACTGAAATACAAACAGTCATTCAAGGCTACTATGAACACCTTTATGCACATAAACTAGAAAACCTAGAAGAGATGGATAAATTCCTGAAAGAATACAACCCTCCTAGCTTAAATCAGGAAGAATTAGATATCCTGAACAGACCAGTAACAAGTAGCAAGATTGAAATAGTAATTAAAAAATTGCCAACAACAACAAAAGTCCAGGACCAGACAGATTCACAGCAGAATTCTACCAGATATTCAAAGAAGAATTGGTACCAATCCTTTTGACCCTATTCCACAAGACAGAGAAGGAAGGAACCCTCCCTAATTCATTCTATGAAGCCAGCATCACCCTAATACCAAAACTAGGAAAGGACAAAACCAAAAAAGAAAACTACAGACCAATATCCATGATGAACATAGAGGCTAACATCCTTAACAAAATACTAGCTAACCAAATCCAACAACATATCAAAAAGATAATCCACCATGATCAAGTGGGTTTCATATCACAGATGCAGGGATGGTTTAACATACACAGGTCAATAAATGTGATACACCACATAAACAGAATTAAAAACAAAAATCACATGATCATCTCAATAGATGCAGAAAAAGCATTTGACAAAATCCAGCATCACTTTATGATTAAAACTCTCAGCAAAATCGGCATACAAGGGGCATACCTCAATGTAATAAAAGCCATCTATGACAAACCCACAGCCAACATAATACTGAATGGGGAAAAATTGAAATCATTCCCTCTGAGAACTGGAACAAGACAAGGATGTCCACTCTCACCACTCCTCTTCAACATAGTACTGGAAGTCCTAGCCAGGGCAATCAGACAAGAGAATGAAATAAAGGGCATCCACATTGGTAAAGAGGAGTCAAACTGCCACTGTTTGCTGACGATATGATCGTTTACCTTGAAAACCCTAAGGATTCCTCCAGAAAGTGCCTAGAACTGATAAAAAAAAATTCAGCAAAGTTTCTGGTTACAAGATTAATATATACAAATCAGTAGCTCTTCTATACACCAACAGCAACCAAGCAGGGAATCAAATCAAGAACTCTACCCATTTTACAATAGCTGCAAAAAATAAAATAAAATAAAATAGGAATATACCAAACCAAGAAATAGAAAGACCTCTACAAAGAAAACTAAAAAACACTGCTGAAAGAAATCATAGATGACATGAACAAATGGAAACACATCCCATGCTCATGGATAGGTAGAATCAATATTGTGAAAATAACCATACTGCCAAAAGCAATCTACAAATTCAATGAAATCCCCCATGAAAATACCACCATAATTCTTCACAGAATTAGAAAAAACAATTCTAGGCCAGGCGCGGTGGCTCACGCCTGTAATCCCAGCACTTTGGGAGGCTGAGGTGGGTGGATCACGATGTCAGGAGTTCAGGCTGGCCAAGATTGAGAAACCCCATCTCTACTAAAGATACAAAAATTAGCTGGGCATGGTGGTGGGTGCCTGTAATCCCAGCTACTTGGGAGGCTGAGGCAGAGAATTGCTTGAACCTGGGAGGCAGAGGTTGCAGTGAGCTGAGGTTGTGCCACTGCACTCCAGCCTGTGTGATGGAGTGATACTCCATCTCAAAAAAAAAAAAGAAGAAGAAAGAAAAAGAAAAAACAATTTTAAAATTCAGATGGAACCAAAAAAGAGCCTGTATAGCCAAAGCAAGACAAAGCAAAAAGAACAATTCTGGAGGCATCACACTACCTGATTTCAAACTATACTATAAGGCCATAGTCTCCAAAACAGCGTGATACTAGTACAAAAATAGGCAGATAGTCCAATGAAACAGAATGGAGAACCCAGAAATCAACCCAAATACTTACAGCCAACTGATCTTTGACAAAGCAAACAAAAACATAAAGTGGGGGAAAGGACACCCTTTTCAACAAATGGTGCTGGGGTAATTGGCTAGCCACATGTAGGAGAATGAAATGGGATCCTCATCTCTTACCTTATACAAAAATAAACTAAAGATGGATTAAGGACTTAAATCTAAGACTTGAAACTATAAAAATTCTAGAATATAACATTGGAAAAACCCTTCTAGACGTTGGCTTAGGTAAGGTTTTCATGACCAAGAACCCAAAAGCAAATGCAATAAAAACAAAGATAAATAGCTGGGACCTAATTAAACAAAAGAGCTTTTGCATGGCAAAAGGAACAGTCAGCAGAGTAAATAGACAACCCACAGAATGGGAGAAAATCTTCACAATCTATACATCTGACAAAGGACTAATATCCAGAATGTACAACAAAATCAAACAAATCAGTAAGGAAAAAACAAGCAATCCCATTAAAAAGTGGGCTAAGGACATGTATAGACAATTCTCAAAAGAAAATATACAAATGGCCAACAAATATATGAAAAAATGCTCAACATCCCTAATGATCAGGGAAATGCAAATCAAAACCACAATGCGATACCACCTCACTCCTGCAAGAATGGCCATAATCAAAAATTCAAAAAACAATTGATAACAATTGATGTTGGTGTGGATGGGGTGAACAGGGAACACTTCTGCACTGCTGGTGGGAATGTAAACTAGAACAGCCGCTATGGAAAACAGTGTGGAGATTCCTTAAAGAATTAAAAGTAGAACTACCATTTGATCCAGCAATCCCACTACTGGGTATCTACCCAAAGGAAAAGAAGTCATTATTTGAAAAAGACACTTGCACATGCATGTTTATAGCAGCACAACTCTCAATTACAAAATCGTGGAACCAACCCAAATGCCCATCAATCAATGAGTGGATAAAGAAGCTGTGGTGCATATATGATGGAATACTATGCAGCCATAAAAAGGAATGAATTAACAGCATTTGAAGTGATCTGGATAAGTTTGGAGTGAAGTAACTCAGGAATGGAAAACCAAACATCATATGTTCTTACTGATATGTGGGAGCTAAGCTATGAAGATGCAAAGGCATAAGAATGATACAGTGGACTGTGGGGACTTGGGGGGAAGAGTGGGAGGGGGGTGAGGGATAAAAGACTACAAATATGGTGCAGTGTATACTGCTTGGGTGATGGGTGCACCAAAATCTCAGAAATTACCGCTAAAGAACTTACTCACGTAATCAAATACCACCCATACCCCAACAACTTGTGGAAAAATAAAATAAAATATTAAAATAAATGCAGATATATTAAAAAGCAGAAAAGAAAGAAGTAATGATAATTGATGTCTTCTATGGAAAACAAACATGAACAAACAAACAAAGCACCCCCTCACAACCCCCACAAAAAAACTCAAGTCTGTTATAAACTCCTTTGGTTCTTTATATTTTTAAAAAATTATGTAACTATAGCAAGGGATTTTGTCTCCTAGTACTTGAAGAAGAGTAGTCCTGGACTGACCTGTCTTTGTCATTATTATTTCAAATGAAGATCAAGTCCTTTTTTGTTGTGGCTCTGTTAGGAATAGAATGAAGACTAATAAAAATAATAATATTTTGCCTGATGAAAGAAATGAATCTGTAATAAAAAGGATATGAGGATTAATTCTGAGTATTTTTATTAATTAGGGACAGAATTGTTTTTCCAATAATGATTTAGTTTTAATGTTTAGATTAAGAATGTAAGTTCTAAAATTCTTCTTCCCTCTCATCAGTTAAGTAATAGAGGTTGTGTAGTTTGAGCTGTGAATAATGTCTCATTCATCTAAGGTTTATTCAGAAGTTCTTAACAAGAATAACTGACTCTATAGCTGGAAGAAAAGGATGGTGTGGGGATGTCACCAGAACTCACCTGAGTCAGAAACGAGGGGGCTTTGGGGAGATAAGATCATGTAATTAATTTTTTCAAGCATGCACCAGGACCTCATAAACAGAGAGTCACTTTCTGAGCTTATTTTAATAAAACAATGCTTCTTTTCTTGAATGTGTAGGTGGGTGAAGTAAGACAAGCAAGTGTGAGCCAATCTGAATCTACTGAGGTCATTTAGAGTCATTTTAAAATATAAAAACAAATAACTTTTTAAAATTTATTTTTTATTTCAATAGCTGGGACCTAATTAAACTAAAGAGTTTTCAATAGTTTTTTTGGGGAACAGGTGGTGTTTGGTTACATGAATAAGTTCTTTAGTGGTGATTTCTGAGATTTTGGTGCACCCATCACCCAAGTAGTGTACACTGTATGCAATGTATAGTCTTTTATTCATCACCCCCCTCCCACCCTTTCCCCTGAGTCCCCAAAGTTCATTGTATTATTCTTATGCCTTTGCATCCTCATAACTTAGCTCCTACTTATGAGTGAGAACATACGATGTTTGGTTTTCCATTCCTGAGGTACTTAGAATAATAGTCCGCAATTCCATCCAGGTGGCTCTAAGTGCCATTATTTTGTTCCTTTTTATGGCTAAGTAGTATTCCATGGTGTAGTGTATATATATATATGTGTGTGTGTGTATATATATATGTATATATATGTGTATATATATGTATCTATACATGTATATATATATGTATATATACACACACACACACACACACATATATATATATATATATATGCCACATTTTCTTTATCCACTCATTGATTGATGGGCATTTGGGCTTGTTCCATATTTTTGTAATTGCAAATTGTGCTGCTATAAATGTGTGTGCAAGTATCTTTTTGGTATAATGACTTCTTTTCCTCTGGGTAGATACCTAGTAGTGGGATTGCTGGTTCAAATGGTAGATGAATTTTTAGTTCTTTAAGGAATCTCTACACTGTTTTCCATAGTGGTTGTACTGGTTTACATTCCCACCAGCAGTGTAAAAGTGTTCACTTTCACCACATCCACACCAACATCTATTATGTTTTGATTTTTTTATTATAGCCATTCTTGCAGGAGTGAGATGGTATCACATTGTGGTTTTGATTTGCATTTCCCTGATAATTAGTGATGTTAAGTATTTTTCCATATGCTTCTTGGCCATTTGTGTCTTTTTTTGAGAATTGTCTATTCATGTCCTTAACCCACTTTTTGATAGGATTGTTTGCTTGTTTGTTTTGCTAATTTGTTTGAGTTCTTGGTAGAGTCTAGATATTAGTCCTTTGATGGATGTATAGATTGTGAAAAAAAATAACTTTTAATGTAGAACTGCATCTCAAGGAAAAAGGAGGAAAACAAAAATCATTTAATCCCCCTCCCCCTCAGAGGTAGACACTACCAACTTACTGGCGTATAGTGTTTCAGTTTTTTTCCTGCATATATGTGAGCCCATGTTCATGTATGTATGTATTTTATTTACAAAATGGGATAATACTCTATACAACTGTTTCTGGAGAATATTTTTTCTATTTAAAAATACTGTAAATTTTTTCACATCATAGATCTGTCTACAATTAATGACCACATAATATTCCAATGTATATCTTCTATAAAATGGGATTTTTTACTTAATTTCTTGCTTTGCACATTTGAGTTACACATTCTTTCAAAGATTTGTCTATTTTCTTTTACTTAATGCAAGGATTTTTAGCCTCAGCACCACTGGCATTTTGGGCCAGATAGTTATGGCCGGGGATGTTCTGTGCATTGTAGTTTACTTAGCGTTATCTCTGGTCTCTACCTGCTAGAGGCCAGTTCATCCCACAGACAACCAAAATTGTCCCCAGACATTGCCAAAGTCTTCTGGGGTGGGATTAGGGGTGTGAAGAATTTCCCCCAATTGAAACCATTGTTTTAAAGGAAGAATGTAAAAAACACATTAATACATTTGTAATATGAAAAAAAATGTGAGATTCAGAAATAGCCAGATTTGGCTTCAAATTTTCGCTCTACCATTTACTAGCTGTATAAACTTCGTTAAGTGAATGAATGACGGAGCTAGATTTGAAACCATATTTGGTGGCATTTCAGAGTCATTCATAATTCTGCTTATATCCAAGTATCTCCTTTGCTGGACTATTAAGGTTCGTTAGGTCCTGAAACTCTCCTGCAATGGAGTAGATTCTCTGGATTCTGGTGTTATATCTCCACGAGTTTCCCCAAACTATCGCCTCTATGGAGAGTAGATAACATACTAAGCTGTATGAGTCATTAATCTCTCTACAAATTGTTTAATCAGAGGGAAATATAGCTTGACTGGTTACAGCTGGAAGACTGTGAACAGGTGACATGTAGGAGGGTTTCTTGGATTATAAGCATAAGAGCTGACTCTGGCCCACCTAAGCAGATAGAAGGAAACTGGGAGAGTTCTCAGAGAGTTGAAGGGAGTCCAACAGGTAGCATGTGGGCAGAGTAGAAGGCAGAGTGGCTGCAGGGCCTTGTCACAGGAGTTTGTGGTCATTCTTCATAAGGCATTGCCATTAATGTGATTCAATGCCTATCTCTATGTGTCTTAGTCTAGAATTTCAAATTCTAATGAGAGATTGCTGGCTGGCTCAGTTTGAGTCAGGTACTACTTGAGGAACAATTAGCTATTTCCAGCATGTCTGGGTCATGTAAAGTCATGGCCTCACATCTCATCCTATGTTTGTGAATATTTCCCAAAAGGGAAAACTGTGTGCTAAGGAGTTATTCTTGAAGTATCTACCACAGAACAGCAAGACAGTACAGGTCACCTTGAAAATGGGAGGCCTGGGCAGAGAGGTGGGTTGAGGGTGCTGGCAGAGTTCAGTGACTTTCCACTTGCCTTTGGGAGTCAAGCAAATGGATCCATCTTGTCTCTCCTCATTAGACTATAAGCTCCCTATGTCAGGCACCATGCTGTCTTCTCAACAGCTGTATGGTGATGCACAGGATTCTTACTGAAATTGGGTAGCTGCACAGTAAATATCTGTAAAGAACAATGCATTAGCTTTCATACAAAGCTTTCTCCAGTTATTCATTTGTGACTCAGTTTCCTTTTCTATGGGCTGATCACACATTGTGTTCACATCTACCATTTTAATTTAACTACATCACACTGAAATTATTTTGTCCGTCATCCCTACTAGACCATTAGCTTCTAGAGGGCCAGGGGTATGACTATTCGTCTTTATCCCCAGAATTGCATCTGACAAAAAGCAGGCTCTCATTCCATATTAGTTGACCCAAATGCATGAGATTTCTGTTTTTGTGATCAATCATACTAGGTGAGTGCTTCTTATCACGTGAGCTATATGTTGAGAATAAATGAACTAATGAATGAACTAATGAATATTTTGGCTGACTATGAGTATAAGCTTGTGAAGTGCATCAACAGATGTTGGGAACAGAAAACAATTTCATTTTTTTTTTATTATACTTTAAGTTTTAGGGTACATGTGCACATTGTGCAGGTTAGTTACATATGTATACATGTGCCATGCTGGTGCGCTGCACCCACTAACTCATCATCTAGCATTAGGTATATCTCCCGATGCTATCCCTCCCCCCTCCCCCCACCCCACCACAGTCCCCAGAGTGTGATATTCCCCTTCCTGTGTCCATGTGATCTCATTGTTCAATTCCCACCTATGAGTGAGAATATGCGGTGTTTGGTTTTTTGTTCTTGTGATAGTTTACTGAGAATGATGATTTCCAATTTCATCCATGTCCCTACAAAGGACATGAACTCATCATTTTTTATGGCTGCATAGTATTCCATGGTGTATATGTGCCACATTTTCTTAATCCAGTCTATCATTGTTGGACATTTGGGTTGGTTCCAAGTCTTTGCTATTGTGAATAAAGCTGCAATAAACATACGTGTGCATGTGTCTTTATAGCAGGATGATTTATAGTCCTTTGGGTATATACCCAGTAATGAGATGGCTGGGTCAAATGGTATTTCCAGTTCTAGATTCCTGAGGAACCGCCACACTGACTTCCACAATGGTTGAACTAGTTTACAGTCCCACCAACAGTGTAAAAGTGTTCCTATTTCTCCACATCCTCTCCAGCACCTGTTGTTTCCTGACTTTTTAATGATTGCCATTCTAACTGGTGTGAGATGGTATCTCATTGTGGTTTTGATTTGCATTTCTCTGATGGCCAGTGATGATGAGCATTTTTTCATGTGTTTTTTGGCTGCATAAATGTCTTCTTTTGAGAAGTGTCTGTTCATGTCCTTCGCCCACTTTTTGATGGGGTCGTTTGTTTTTTTCTTGTAAATTTGTTTGAGTTCATTGTAGATTCTGGATATTAGCCCTTTGTCAGATGAGTAGGTTGCGAAAATTTTTTCCCATTTTGTAGGTTTCCTGTTCACTCTGATGGTAGTTTCTTTTGCTGTGCAGAAGCTCTTTAGTTTAATTAGATCCCATTTGTCAATTTTGTCTTTTGTTGCCATTGCTTTTGGTGTTTTAGACATGAAGTCCTTGCCCATGCCTATGTCCTGAATGGTAATGCCTAGGTTTTCTTCTAGGGGTTTTATGGTTTTAGGTCTAACATTTAAGTCTTTAATCCATCTTGAATTGATTTTTGTATAAGGTGTAAGGAAGGGATCCAGTTTCAGCTTTCTACATATGGCTAGCCAGTTTTCCCAGCACCATTTATTCAATAGGGAATCCTTTCCCCATTGCTTGTTTTTCTCAGGTTTGTCAAAGATCAGATAGTTGCAGATATGCGGCGTTATTTCTGAGGGCTCTGTTCTGTTCCATTGATCTATATCTCTGTTTTGGTACCAGTACCATGCTGTTTTGGTTACTGTAGCCTTGTAGTATAGTTTGAAGTCAGGTAGTGTGATGCCTCCAGCTTTGTTCTTTTGGCTTAGGATTGCCTTCGTGATGCGGGCTCTTTTTTGGTTCCATATGAACTTTAAAGTAGTTTTTTCCAATTCTGTGAAGAAAGTCATTGGTAGCTTGATGGGGATGGCATTGAATCTGTAAATTACCTTGGGCAGTATGGCCATTTTCACGATATTGATTCTTCCTATCCATGAGCATGGAATGTTCTTCCATTTGTTTGTATCCTCTTTTATTTCCTTGAGCAGTGGTTTGTAGTTCTCCTTGAAGAGGTCCTTCACATCCCTTGTAAGTTGGATTCCTAGGTATTTTATTCTCTTTGAAGCAATTGTGAATGGGAGTTCACTCATGATTTGGCTCTCTGTTTGTCTGTTGTTGGTGTATAAGAATGCTTGTGATTTTTGTACATTGATTTTGTATCCTGAGACTTTGCTGAAGTTGCTTATCAGCTTAAGGAGATTTTGGGCTGAGACAATGGGGTTTTCTAGATATACAATCATGTCATCTGCAAACAGGGACAATTTGACTTCCTCTTTTCTTCAAAAACATAGGTCTCAAAGGAACCTTAGGGATTGATTACAGGGATTGTTAATACTACTATTGCCATAATCAATATTAACATGGACTATATTTTTGGGAAATTTTGTTCTAGTGAAGTGGCATGAAACACTGCTACTCAGTCACAGTGCTGTGACACAAGTCAGGAGTGAGGTGTGTCATAAGTGTTTGTTACCAAACACAGTTGAAGTACTGAAGCTTGCAAATAATTTACATTTAAAATATATTTAGAACAGCCTCAAGGTTATCTCTGTGATAACATCACTCTCACTCTCTCCAATGCTGATATGCCTTTTAGGAGGAGTGAAGTGCAGTATATCTGGTGTCAGAAGTTGTGTTTGGGAATATGCCTTCCATGTGAGGCTCACATGTTGAGAATCATTGCCTGGGGTTATGGGTCACAAATAAAGTCATTTGATGTATCTTATAAATTGTCCCCTCAATTTATACACTCCTTGTTTTTCTAGGCTTTAAAATACAAAGGCCTGATAACATTAACTCAGGGGCCTGAGTAGAAAATATTTTCTGGAAAGAATAAGGCTAAAGAGGCTGTGGTTGCCATTTCCTCCATTGCCTCCTTTGGGACTCTGGGCATTCCACAGCCATGTAAATGTGGCTCTTTCTTTTCTCATTTTTCCTTATAGTAGCAGCAACACATACTCAAGCCCTTTCTTTTGAGTACTATACAATAATACATCAAAAATTACTGATCACAGGTCATCATAACTGATATAATAATAAAAAAAAGTTTGAAATATTAGGAGAATTACCAAAATGTGACACAGAGGCACCAAATGAAGGCATGGTATTAGAAAATGGCACCAACAGTCTTGCTGAATGGAGGAGTTGCCACAAACATTCAGTTCGTAAAATACGCAATATCTGCAAAGCACAGTAAAGCAAGGTATGCCCATATGAAAATGCTTACTTCTGGCAACAGGGACTTTATAATGTCAACTAAGGCAATTACATCTGTACTGAATAGATGCAATCCAAGATTTCCTTAACCTTGGAAAGGGTTTTACTGCTGCCTTACTTGATCCAACCACATCTATCCATACTTCCCTAATTGTGGTCTTGATGTCTTTGCTGGAATCCATGCGAAGTCTCTATTTCTTACTTAAGGTCACCTCTTGGTGAATAATTAAGAAGTCCATCCTCCTAGTCCTAATTTTTATCTTTTCACTTTCCTTCTCCTTTTTTTCTGCCCTCCTGACAATCACAGGCTCTGTTGCAGTCTGGAAACTTGACCCTTTTTCGTCCTTTAAAATCAATTCTTGTCTCCTAATTCTTGCAGATAGTTGGTATGGTGATATTCACATGGCCCCCATTTAAGGATTCACACTCAGTTTTGTGGGGTGCCATAGCCTGCACCCTTCATCTCTTCACTTCTCCTCAGCTTGCTTTCTACTTTCTTTCCAAAATAGTGATAAAGTGCCAGGAGGGCTTCTGAGGAAAGATAATTCTAAGGGGTAGAAGGTTACCTTTGCTTTGTCTTCAGTGAGCGAAAGTAAAAAAGTAAATATTCTATAAGAAGGGTTGGCAAAGTTTTTCTGTAAAGGGCCAGATAGTAAGTATTTAGGTTTTGTGGCCATACAGTCCCTGTGGAAGCTACTCAACTGTGCTTCTGGAAAGTGTCCATAGACAGTACATAAACAAATGAGCATGGCCGTGTGCAGTAACTACTTATAGACACTGAAATTTAAATTTTATGTAATTTTTACTTGCAACAAAATATTATTTTCCTTTCAATTTTTCCGGTCATTTAAAGATGGAAAAATCATCCTTTGCTTATGGGTTGTACAAAAACAGGTGTGGGCCAGGTTTAAGCTTGCCAGATTTAGTAGTTCCTATTTGAGACATTTTTACTAAAAAATTATTTGTCGTTTATCTGAAATTCAAGTTTAACTGGGAATTCTGTATTTTATTTGGCAACCCTAGCTGGCTTTCATCTCTGAGCCACGGTTTGAAGACTCCTATTCTATAATTAGTCAGTTTTTACAAAATATTTCTCTGGTTGCATTTGTCAGGGGAGGGGGTGGTGGGGATTTAAACCCACATATGCTTTGCCCATCTGGTTTTAAATCGTCGTGTGATCATCTACTCTAATGGAGTTCTCAGATGTGGAAGAATAATATTGAGATATTCAGAAACCAGTTTGTTTCCAGAAGAACAGTCATAACAGTAGAGCTTAGGTTTGCAGCAAAGATGCATAAAGCTAACGTGAAATCACCTCAGATACTGAACTATGTGAGAAATATTCTCCTTCTTTTGTTTTTTTTCTGAGTTTTTTTGTAAGAGTGTTTGTTTCAAGGGTGAATGAACAATAATATATTGAGCTTTTTTGTCCCAGCTTGTATAGTGGCCAATTACTGAAATATCCATAGTGAAATATTTATGCTAATGGATTTCCAATTCTTTAATATTCATACATTCAGTGAGTTTGTACTGAGTTCCTACTCTATGCTAAGCATATTTTAAAAGCTGGCTATACAATAGTAAACAAAACAGATAGGTGCCTTTTGACCTCAGAATGTTTACATTCTAGTTGAGGTAAACAAACAAAAAACAAATAAGTAAAGATTTACTCTCTCAGATATGAAAAGGGATATAGAAAAAAATGAAGCAAAGGAGAATAGGTATTGCCAGAGAGGGGAGGGATTGCCTTTTGACAGGTGAGTCCTGAGAAGGTTACAGTGGAGCAAAGACCTGAGGAAGCAAGGGAGGGAGCCCTGTGGCTCCCTGGGAAGAAAGCATCTATGGCTAATGTGAAAGTCCTGAAGTTTGAGAAATGATAAGGAGGCCAGAGTGACTCAAGTGGAATGAACAATGGGGAGACTAGTAGGATATGAGTTAGAGGAATAACAAGGTGGAGGGTATGGTGTAGAGATGATGTAGGGCCTTGTAGCACTGGCTTTTAGTTTGCTGAAATGAAGTGTCATCTTAGAGTTTTGAAAAGAGGGAAGACTTACCTTACTTAATTGCTTATGTTTTACTCAATCACTCTGATTACTGTGTACTTAGTGGACCACAGGGAGCAAGATCAGAGGCAGAAGAGCAGCTAGGAGGCTACTGAGTAATCCAGGTGAGAGATAATGGTGATTTGGATAAACACAGTTGCGGTGGAGACATTGTGAAGTCACATTCTGGTTGACATAGAAAGTAGAAATGGTAGGATTTGGTGATGGACTTGATGTCAGCTGTGAAAGCAAGAGAGGAGTCAAAGATAACTTCCAGATTTTTGGCCTGAACAACTGGGAGGATGGAACTGCTATTTATTGAGAAGGGGAAGATGGTGGGAGGAGAAGATTTGAGAGAGAAAATCCGGTTTGGGTCAGGACAAGATAAGTGTGAGATGAATGTTAGGACTTTAAATGGAGATGTCAAATATGCAGCTGGACGTATGAGTCTGGAGTTCAGAGTTGCTGCTATCTGGGCTCCAGATATAAATTTGGGAATCATCAGTATATAGATGATGTTGAAAGCCAAGCAATTGGATGAGATCATTAAGGGAGTGAGTGTACCTAGAGGAAAGATGAAGCTCTAAGAGCCATCTTTTATATGAGTCACTGGAAATGGCTTGATAGCTTCTGTATTCATCATAGCCACAAATACAATTAATATTAGGAGTATTCAAATTATGAAAACCTCAAGTGCTTTATGGTAGTAAAGAACTTTCATTTGTAATGCTGAATATTCACATGCATCTTTTCTGTAAACAAAATAAAAACATTTAAAAAACACTTAAATTTCCTTTTGGAATATCTAAACTAGAGGTGTAAAATTGACCAAATTCATTGTTTGATTCTCTGTAAAGTCTGGAATTACATATATCTTTCAGTTTGGAAACTGCCGGTAGGTTAAAAAAAATTTAAGAGCAATGAAAACAGGTTTTGATTAGTTGATTCTTTTCTAGCTGTTTTGCAAAATACTTTTTATTGCTAAGTTAAGAAAAAGATTTTGTTTGGACATATGTATATATATAGTGTGTGTGTGTGTCTGTGTATACACACAGACACACACACACACACACTTCCCTAAACATATATATGTGTGTATCTATCTATATCTGTTTCTATCTGTATGTCTATTATTCTGTAACTGTATTTATACATTCTCTCAATTGTCTTGGTAAGGATCCCTGGGGGAATTTCTCCTGTGCCTAGAACCTTCCAACTGAAACAAAAACAAAAACAAAAACACTTTGTAATGAGCTTTTTTCCCCTTGGCTTATCAAACTATTTCCCAAAGTAGTTAAAGCCTCTAGGCATAATATATTAAGCTGGGGCCAGACACGGTGGCTCAGCCTGTAATCCCAGCACTTTGGGAGGCTGCAGCAGGCGGATCATGAGGTCAGGAGTTCAAGATAAGCCTGGCCAATATGGTGAAACACCATCTCCACTAAAAATACAAAAATTAGCCAGGCGTGGTGGTGCACGCCTGTAGTTCCAGCTACTTGGGAGGCTGAGGCAGAAGAATCGCTTGAACCTGGCAGGCAGAGATTGCAGTGAGCCGAGATTGCACCACTGCACTCCAGCCTGGGTGACAGAGAGAGACTCCGTCTTGAAAAAAAGAAGGAAGGAGTAGTACCTGGTCTGGGGTTATGGTTATTTTTATGTGTCAACTTGGCTAGGCCAGAGACCCACATACTTGATCAAACACATCTGGATATGGCTGTGAAGCAATTTAAATCAGCTGACTTTGAGTAAAGCAAATTACCCTCCATAATGTGGTGGGCCTCATCCAATCAGCTAAAGGTTTTCAGAAAAAAACTGATGTCCCCTGAGAAAAAGAAAAGAAAAACAAACTGGCTGAGGTCTTTTTTATTTTTTCAAACAGGACCTTGAATTTAGACCCCAATACTATCTTCAAATGTGAAAGCATCATTGACTTTTAAATTTGTCATGTAAATGTCTTCGTTGGTTAATTTTTAACATGAGGCCCTGAATGTCTGACCATCAGTGATGAGTGGGCGGCCTGTCTCTTAAAAACCAAGTCACACTCAGTGTGATGAAGCTGCCTGCTTCTTCTGGCCTTCATGGCCACTCCTAATAAGAATTTGTACAAGTTGGCTGGTCCCATGAAAAGGAGACAGCAGTGGCCTTTTATTCTGACACAGTATAGGCACATGATACACATCTGCCCAGTCTGTTGCCATTGTACCCTCCAGGGACAAGCTGACAAAAATGCTGCTATCTTTAGAAGAATCAAGAAATGACTCAGCTTCCTTGAGGCCTCACAGCTCTGTTGGCACTTCTCCTCCTACTGCACTGCATGGACAATAGATGCTGGACTCTGCCTGGAGAATGAGCATCCAGAATTGTCAAATTTTCTCAAAGCAAATTTTCTCTTTCTTTCCCACTGAGTTCAGAAGAATGCAAGATATTTTACCAATACTCTATAGTTCTGTATAAGGACTCCTTATCATTGTCCCTTATAAACCACATTTGTCTAGAGGAAAAAGTACTGACTATACCTCCCCTTTTGATACTTGAAAATTAGTACCCTAATTGACTACTATAGAAGCCCTGCTTAATAAACTGGTGAATATGAGGTTGATCTTGTGACCTTCCTTTTCATTCATTTACTTATTGTATTAGGTTTATTGCTAAATAGCAAATCACTCTAAAACTTAGTGGATTAAAACAATAAACATTTTTGAACTCACAGTTTCTATGGGCCAGGAATGTAGAAGCTACTTAGCTGGGTAGTTCTTGATCAGGGTCTGTACAGAAGTTATATTCAGGCATTGGTCAGGGCTATGGATATTTGAAGGCTGGCCTGGGGCTAGAGGATCCCCGTCCAAGATGGCTCACTCAGTTGGTTGACAAGTTGATGCTGGGTGTTATCAAACAGCCTCAGTTTCTTGCCACATGGATTTTTTGGTAGGGCTGCTTGAGTTTCCTCATGACACGATAGCTGTCTTCTCACAGAGCAGTAAATCCAAGAGTGCACAGCAGAAGTTGCAGTGTCATTTATGACTTAGCCTTGGAAGTTACCATCATTTCCTCCATATCCTATTGGTTAAACAGATCAGCCCTGCTCAATGAGGGAGGATGCTATGTGGGGGTTTCTAGGGTTACTACAGCCAGCTGCCACACTCATTTACTCAGTTGAGATTTACTGAGTGCCTGCTATGTGCAGGCACAGTGCTTAGACCCTTTGACCTAACGTTGACTCAGATATCTGACTCATTGCCAAGTGTCCCCTCCTCCTCTACTGGGTATCTTCACTCCAGCCTCCTCTACAACTCCCTCAAGCTTCCTGTTCACTTAAGAGATTATTCCTTGAAAAATAAATTGTATTGTTTTTTAAATTAAGGAAAGAGAGCACTAAACTAGGAACATTACCCAACATCTTTGCTGATAGGCAGTAATTTCACTGCTTGAGAGAACCAGATATTTCTGGCTAAATCTACTATGAAGAAATGTCCAAAGACTGTATCTTATTTTGGGAAGGAGGATCAAAAATCCACTTGAAGTGGGAAAGATACTTATTTAGCACTTACTATGTGCATCATTATAACAACCCAGAAAATAATATTATTTCTGTCCTCATTTTAAAGATGGGAAAATGTATTTACTCAAAACATATTTACTGATTATTTACTATGACCAGGAGCTTTTTACGTGCTTGGGATACAACAGTGAAAAAAATGGACAAAAATGTAAACACTCATGGAGCTTATTTTGTAATGGGTTGGGAAAGAGAATAAACATAATAAATAGTATGTAAGAAGGCAGTAATAATAGCAGCTAATATGCAGATACATGGTAACAGTATGTTAGACGATAGTAAGCACTATAGAAAAGGAAACAAGTACTGTAGAGTAAGGTGGTTTTGAGAACCTCAGGTGTGGAGGCAGGTTGCAGTATTACATAGATGGATAAACTAGACCTGATCGAGAAGACAGTATGCAAGGCAAGATTTGAGGGAGGTGAGGGAGCTAACCACGTGGATGTTTGGAGGGAGAACATCCAGGCATAGGGAACAGCTGATGCAAGGGATTCTAAGATGGGACCATTCCTAGTGTGTTTGAAGCATAAACAAAGAGGCTAGTATCTGGGAGAAATGAGCTGATTAGATATACAAATCTAGAGTCTGGGGAAGATATTTATGCATGGTATATAATATAGGAGTTGTTGGCACAGATGTGATATTTTCAGCCATGAGGCTGAGTAAGATTACCACGGTCAAGACAGTTGATAGGTAGAGAACTGTGGCCTCAGCCCTGGAATACTTCAACATTAAAAAATACAAGGAGCAGAAAATGAGGAAAGAAATCTGAGATGAAGGAACCAGTGAGCTAAGGGCAAAGTCCAATGTGAGAGGCTTCCTGGAAGACAAATGAAAAAAAAAATATTGTATTTAGAAGGAGGGAGTGGTTAACTGTGTCAGGTGCTGTCTTAGGTCAATTCCTAGTTGGGGATTTAGCAATGCAGAGATCACTAGTGACCATGGAAAAAGAACTCTGGAAACATGGTGGAGGAGGAAACCTGGAAAAAATGGTTTTTTACTTTATTTTATTTATTATTATTATTTTTTGAGACAGAGTCTTGCTCTGTCACCCAGGCTGGAGTGCAGTGGCACGATCATGGCTCAGTGCAACCTCCGCCTCCTGGGTTCAAGCAATTATCCTGCCTCAGCCTCCCAAGTAGCTGAGATTGCAGGCGTGTGCCACCACACCCGGCTAATTTTTTTGTATTTTTAGTAGAGACGGGGTTTCACCATATTTGCCAGGCTGCTCTTGAACTCCTGACCTTGTGATCCGCCTGCCTCAGCCTCCCAAAGTGCTGGGATAACAGGCATGAGCCACCACTCCCGGTCCTAAAAGTGGGTGTAAAAGAGGATGGGGTGGGTGTAAAAGAGGATGGGGTGGGTGGAATCACTGAAACTAATGAGATTAGAGAACTCTTTTAGGTTTTGCTGAAAGGGCAGCAAAGACATCGGTGGGTACTAGTGAAAAGTATGGTCAAGGGGAAGGTTTTCTTTATTTTTTAAGATACAAATGCTTTATGATGGGAATAATTCAATAGAGAGTAAAAAATGATAATTTAAGACAAAGAATTGACGGAATAATGTTTTTGATTGGTGAGAAGTGATAAGATCTAATGTAGAAGTATAAGGATTAATTTTTGACAGGAACATTGGATAATTCAACAGTGGTGATAGGCAGGAAGGCAAAGATGTTCGCTGATGCAGGCATGTGGGTGGATGTGTTGGTGGGAGTATGTGGAAATCGTTTTCTTACTGGTTTCATTTTTCTTTCTTTTTTTTTTTCAGTAAAATAGGAAGCAAGGTTTTCAGCTGAGTATAATGGTGGGAAAAGAGGTGTTGGGAACTTGAGTAAAGAGAAAGTATAAAATGGCAGACTAATGAGTGGAAGAGTGTATGAACTGGAGACATGTAGTGTGAATGATGGGCCAACTTGAAGTTAATGGCCAAGTATTTAAAGCAAGACCAGTCATCCTGGCTTGTATTCTTCTCTATCATGCTGCAGTGGGGGCAGATGTAAAGTAGGCTGAAATTTGGATTTAAGTAGGATTATCATTTTGCAAAGCAAGAGTAACCAAATTGTAGAGAAGCAAAGGATTTAATAGCTATTGATAATGGAATTTAAATTGGGTAAGGGCTGGGCACGATGGCTTATGTTTGTAATACCAGCATTCTGTGAAGTCAAGGCAGGAGGATTGCTTGAGCCTAGAAGTTTGAGATCAGCCTGGGAAACAAGGCGAGACCCTATCTCTACACAAAAATAAAAAACTTGGCCAGGCTTGGTCGCACACATCCGTAGTTCCAGCTATTCAGGAGGCTGACATGGGAGGATGGCTTGAGCCTAGGAGGTCAAGGTTGTAGTTAGCTATGACCATGACACTGCACTCCAGCCTGGGCGATAGAGCAAGATCCTGTCTCAAAAAGTAAAAAATAAAAAATAAATAATTGGGCAAGGAGAGGAATGAGGGCATGAGGGTGACAAACAGGGAAAAAATGATAGGATCAATGGCTTCGCAGAAGCAGTGGGATGGAAGAATTGTGATAGATGTGTTGGTGGGAGTATAGTACGGAGAGATGAGATGAAATGATAGGAAGTGATGACAGAGAGCGGGGTGCATGTAACCGACACTAAGGAGAAGATGTACTTGTTAATAGTAACAAGGCCTAGGGTGATGACCGTGGAGAGAGTGGCTAGGTTGGGTAGAGAAAATAAGGGGGAATTCCTGGGGTTTTGGTGATAGGAACAATGAGGAGTCATGCGTGATATAATTTGATGACAGAGATTCAAAATGAGGAGTTTTTAGAAATGAGAGAGGACTGGAAAATGGTTTGAAAGTAGCAATAAGGAGCAAGGAGGACATGTCCTCTACTTCTAGGCCTTATAGGTATAAGAATCGTGAAAGACAAGGTGAATTCCACTACAGAGAACTGCAAGAGTGGCTGTTTCTTCAGTGGAAAGCCAGGTTTCCCTTAAAGCAGGAAGGAGAAGAGAGCATTCAGATAATGGAGAAGAGATACAGGGAATTTTGTTGATGGCTGAGTTTCAGAGGACAGCGTGGAAGGATTTTGAGAGCTTGAGGAGGGGTGAGAAAAGGGGACAGACTACGTTCAGAGTCCAAGAGGGACTGTGGGAGTTGAGAGTCATTTTGGGAGCTGGGGGCAGCCTGTGGTGGAGAGGGATAAAGGGCAATATGGGAGGAGTCCTGGTGGTGGGAGCAAGATGGCGGTAGTGAAGCAGTGAGTGTTGCAGGGGGAACAGAGGGCTCTGGCAGAGGGCTGGGCTCTTTCAGGTCCTCACTGCACCAATGAGGTCCAATGTCAGCCGGGGTCTCCTCAGCTCCAGAATAAATGCCCTTTCCTATACACCCTTTCTCTTCAAAGCGGAGTCTGTGATGAGCTAGTAGTATCACCTGAGAGCGCGTTAGGAAGGCAGAAACTCAGGCCCCATCCCAGACCTACCGACTTTGAGTCTGCATTTTAACACGGTCTCCAGGAGCATTGTGAGCATGGGAGAGTTTGAGAAACATTGCTGTACACTGCATATTTTTCAACCTCTTAAAAATTAATTTTTCTGTGTCCAGTCAATAAGACTCCACGGAATAAAAAAGTAGAACTTTTTGTGATGAAGGCTTTCTGAATTTTTCAAGACTTTACAGAAAGTTCTAAAGTAAGAGTGTGCAAAAATTGAAGGGAGATGGGTATGAGCCAAAAAAATGCTTGTCATATTTATTTATCTGGCTGATGACTGATCGAGTAAAGTTTGTTATTTTCCAACGTCTTAGGGCTATGTGAGGAGAAACCACTCACACATTTGACGTTAAATTCTTCCTGCTTGGATTATGGTGTTGCCACCAGTCTGATTTATAAGCAAACTAGAACTATCAGGAAAAGGAAAGAGGAGGGGTAAAATGAGTGTTTATTTTCTCCAGCTATTATTAACCTAAACTCAGGTGCTTGTACCAAAGAAAGGAATTACTTGTATTTATCCTTACGGATAGGTTGCTAGCAATAAATTATGAAAGGAAAAAAATAACCATGTGAGATAATTGACTGAAAAACAAATGTCAGTAAAAGTAAACAGAATGGATTCCACTAAACCTATTTGCAAAAATGTCAGAGGAGTTGAGTTGTTTTCCCTCACAATATTTGTGCTGGTATAAAGGGACTGCAGTTTAATTAAATTTCTCCGTAGAGACTGGGTATTCTACTATATGTCATTTTGAGATTTTGCTAAAGGAAGGAATGCATTCTGATTAAGTGATGCAACATCTTGCCCTAAGCAGTAGAGTAGAGATGATTAACATACCTCTTCCCCAAACCTCCTGTAGTGGCAGAAAGTCAGAAACATCTGCCACCCAACCAGGACTCTCTGGAAGATGGGTTTAGTCCTGCTTTGGCCACTAACCACTGTGTGACCTTGAGCAAGTACCTTAGGATATCCAGCATTAGAGTATTAGAGACACTGCTTTGCCCTGTGCTATATGTTCAATGGCCAGCTCTCGAAGTCTTCCAGCTCTAAAAATTTCTGGTTCTGGTGGATTTTGTTGTGGGTTGCACAAGTATGCAGTCAGTGAAATTTAGCAAAAATAAGAGGAAATGTGGGAATTTTTAAGACTAATAGATTAATCTCAGGGCTGGAGTCATTAGGTAACTGCATATTGTTGTGGAAATATAAAAAAATACATTTGTCCACATTTTAAAATCTTAAGGCTTTTAAAATTCTCAATATTTAATTATTTGGCTTATAATGCAAGTAGTTCTGATCTTTGTTGATTTTTGTCTGTTTCCAGTCTATTTGAGAATGAGAGACAAAAAGATAAGCATGTTATGTATGTATTGTGATTTTCTTTTTCAGGGGGACCTAAAACTTTGGGGAAAGTGTTGAATCTAATTGATTACTTACTACCTTTTTTTTTTTTCTTGAGATGGAGTCTTGCTCTGTTGCTCAGGCTGGAGTGCAGTGGCACCATCTTGGTTCACTGCAACCTCCACCTCCCAGGTTCAAGCAATTCTCCTGCCTCAGCCTCCCAAGTAGCTGGGACTACAGGCACGTGCCACCATGCCTGACTAGTTTTTGTATTTTTAGTAGAGATGGAGTTTTACCATGTTGGCCAGGCTGGTCTCAAACTCCTGACCTCTAAGTGATCCTCCTGCCTCAGCCTCCCGAAATGCTGGGATTATAGGCATGAGCCACAATGCCCAACCTACTTATTTACTACTTTTTACTTAAGGCATCGAATTCAGATAGTCACAGAACTAGAGGGAACAACAGGCATCTAGCTGTTCAGAATCATTTTTAAACAAATTTCTACATCGTTAATACATCAAAGACGAGTTAAGGCAGTTTTTGTTTTTTCTTGTATTCTACATGTTATCTAGAAGAAAATCTGAATAGACCTGTACATGAAGAAAGAATTATAAGCTGTTGTTTTTCAATAAGATAATAAAGAAATCCTCCCACGGAAGTAATAATCAAAGTGGTTTTTCCTAAGCAAATATAAAATTGCCTTTTCTTTAGTGGGGAAATAAATTAGAAGCAGAAATTATTTTATTTTATTTTTTATTTATTAAGAACTTCTGTGGTATGCCCATTCAGCTTCCATGCCACATGAGCTAAACAGTTGGGTTTGTGATATTCAGAAAACAAGGACATCAAGAACAGAAGTGCAAAGAAAAGAATGTCTGAACTTTAAATACTTTTTAGCTTTAAGGATTGCCAGTGGGTCTTCTAAAACTCCCTCAACCTGCATAATATTTGTGCTGTAAACAATCATGATGTTTGCACCTATGCTCATTTATTTACTAAATTTATGAAAACAATGGAGCACAACTAAAAACAAATTAACCACATGAGTACAAAAGGAACATGCATTTATTGATTGAGTATGGTAAATCCAGCTTTACTAAGCTCACGTAGGTTGTTTCTAAAATGGCATACTAATTTAGCTTCTACTGCTTTGAGGTATAATGGACCATAGACTTAAGTGGGCTAGGGCTGTAGATTAATCATGTAATAAATGAAAACTATTCTAACTGTTCAAGTATAGTGCATGTAGCTAGGAGAAATGATAAACTACTGTGGCTACAAAGCCAAATAACTGTGGTTCCTTGGGTGGTTTTGTGTTGTTTTTCTTTTATCTCTGCAGGAACCCTTATGTGAGGCCAAAATCAAATATTCCTAAAAAGTAGCTTACTTCTGGGTAGATGCTACTCTTAGAAGGGAACATATCTAAATATTTTCATTTCTGACTCAGACTGGGGTGAGGATGGCAGGCATACCAAAGAGCTTGGAAATTTTAGCAGGCCTCTGAAACTAAATTTATTTAGAGTTACCTAATTAATTGGATTTTTTTATTATGATACTATCATATTAACAGCTTTGCACCCATTTGTGCTCTTTTGTCTCCTTTTGTTTCCCTTACTGATAATTTATAAACATATGAACGTATTTTGACCTGGAGTAAAAATTTAGCAAAGGAGTAGACCAATGAGTCTATGTCATTGAGTAGGAGTAGATCAATGAGGCTATGTCATTGAGTAGGGGTGGAAACTGTAAAAAACATTGTGACAATAGTAGGAAACCTTTCTTTGTAGGAAATTGCTGACTTATAGGAAAACTATTTTACAGACTCACATATTAAAAAAAGAGAAACCAACAATTTGTTTTTTAATTTTAAAAACAAGAATTTAAAATTTCCACGTAGTTGCTTTTAAGAGTAAGGCCAGGAAAGAGGAAGTCTTTGGGAGAAGCGAGATAGTGGGAGAAGCTCAGGGGAACGTGGAGGGACAGAGCTGACATTGCCTGCTACTGCTGCCCTGTGATGCTGACCAATAATTCCTTTTTTGCTAAGTAATGGTGGATTCTTATTCAAAGTTCAGAGTGTTTCTTTGAAGAAAAAGGAATTTCCCCAAGGAATTCTGGGGGTTTCTCCTATCTGTAAAGAAATAGCTAAAGTCCAGACTAATAAAGAAGAAAAGAGAGAAGAATCAAATAGACACAATAAAAGATGATAAAGGGGATATCACCACTGATCCCACAGAAATACAAACTACCATCAGAGAATACTATAAACATGTCTACGCAAATAAACTAGAAAACCTAGAAGAAATGGATAAATTTCTGGACACATACACCCTCCCAAGACTAAACCAGGAAGAAGTCGAATCCCTGAGTAGATGAATAACAAGTTCTGAAATTGAGGCAGTAATTAACAGCCTACCAACTAAAAAAAGCCCAGGACCAGATGGATTCACAGCCAAATTCCACCAGAGGTACAAAGAGGAACTGGGACCATTCCTTTTGAAGCTATTCCTAACAACAGAAAAAGAGGGACTCCTCCCTAACTCATTTTATG